>NW_012132920.1:1869010-1917518 GCF_000001405.40 Homo sapiens | reverse complement strand
TGCCCTCCTCCCTAGCCCTCCGGGCCTTTGTTTCCCCACCTCTAAAATGGGGCAGTGTAGCCCTCACATGAAATGTTACTTCTAAAGGCACCTGTGAGCCAGGTGGCTGTGGGAGAGAGGGGGTGATTTTTCTAACCTGCCTCCAGCCTTCCCAGTGCCATGGGAGGCAGACACCAAGTTCTGGGGTCTCCAGCTGCAGTGGGTGGCTGCTGATTGCTTCTCTCTGTCCAGAACAATGAGAACAAGAACGCACTGCAGTTGGAGCAGCAAGTAAAGGAGCTACAGGAGAAGCTTGGCGAGGTGAAGGAGACGGAAACCTCCACCCCATCCAAGAAGGGCTGGGAGGCGGGCAGCAGCCTCTTGGGAGGGGAGGTGCCAGGCCAGAGGCAGCTTCCAGCCTGGGGGCTGGTGACCACAGCACCCCGCAGGGCAGTCCTGTGACTGTTTCTTGCTTCCTGCCTCTGACTTTTAAAGGTGGGTAGCCCTGGGCTCCTCTCAGGTCTGGACATCATCATCCCAGCTAGAGGCATGGAGCCCCCAATCACAGGGGAAGAGACAGTGCTATAACAGGCTCCTTATACCAGGTGCAGTGGCTCATGCCTATAATCCCAGCACTTTGGGAGGCTGAGGCAGGAGAATCACTTGAGGTCGGGAGTTTGAGATCAGCCTGGCCAATGTGGTAAAACCTCATCTCTACTAAAATTACAAAAAAAAAAAAAAAAATTAGCAGGACATTGTGGCGCATGCCTGTAATTCCACCTACTCGGGAGGCTGAGGCACGAGAATTGCTTCAACCCAGGAGGTGGAGGTTGCAGTGAGCTGAGATTGCACCACTGCACTCCAGCCTGGGCCACAGAGTGACACTCTTGTCTGAAAACAAAACAAAAAGACTCCTTAGATTGAAACTGGATTCCAGCCTCAGTTCCACTGGTCACCATTCAAGTACTTTGCATCTCTAAGTCTCTGTTTCTTTAACTTCAAAGGGAAGTTAGCATTTTCCTTACAGAGGTGCTGAGGATTAAATGAGAAGAGGGTATGAGATTTGAGGCTGGGGAAGGAGGCATGGGGTTCTAGGAAAGGGAGGCAGTCACTTAGGCCTGGAGTAAGGGGACAGGGGCCTGGGCAGCTGACAGAGCCCCACAGTGCCCTCGCTACCCTATTAATGGGCCCAGAATCTGGAAACCAGCCACCACATGCCCTCACACCCAGGGTCTTCCTGCAGGTGGAGCTGAAGAGCCAAGAGGCTCAGAGTCTGCAGCAGCAGCCAGACCATTACCTGGGTCACCTGCAGCAGTACGTGGCCACCTATCAGCAGCAGGTGGCCGCCTATCAGCAGCTGACCTGTGAGAAGGAGGCGCTGTACAGGCAGTGACTGCAGCAGACCCAGCTAATGAACCAGCTGCAGCAGCAGGAAGCTTGGGGCAAAGCGGTGGCTGAGATGGCCTGCCAAAAGTTGCAGGAGACCCAGGGGAGGGAGCTGCTGAGGATGGGGCTGTGAGGGGGACGACCTGGCAAACTCCACCCCTTCTCACTCTGTCCTGGCCCCTTAGGAGCACCTGGAAGCTGCCAGCCAGCAGAACCAGCAGCTAACGGCCCAGCTGAGCCTCATGGCTCTCCCTGGGGAAGGTACGGGAGACCGCTCAGAGGAAGAGGAGAGAGCCCCAGGAGGAAGGGGGGACTGCTAGCAGCATAGGATTGAGGAGTTGGAAGAGACCTTTAGAACAGCTGGTCATTATGCCGACCGGGTGCCTGCACTAAGTTCGGCATCAGTGTGGTGACCTCCTGTGAGCGGGGGGTCACCAAGTTGCCTAAGGGTGGCTGAACTGGCCAAGGTCAGAAAGGGAGCAGGTCAGAACTCCCACATCGACCAGTAGTGGGAGTGTGCCTGGGCGGAATAGCAAGATCTTGATTCTTAAAAGTAAAAATAAAGAACAACAGCTCATTCCTCTCTGGGGAGGGGCAGGCTCAGGGTTACACAGTGAGGGTGGAGGTAGAGGTGGGCCCACAGTTCCTCCCTTGTTGGGTTGTCTGAAGACCCCTCTGGCCACCCCCCACAGGACACGGAGGAGAACATCTGGACAGTGAGGGGGAGGAGGCACCTCGGCCCATGCCGAGTGTCCCAGAGGACCCGGAGAGCAGGGAGGCCATGGTGAGCCTGACTCCCCCCTGCACCCATTTTGCCACCTTTCTCTGTGGTCCCTCCAAGACCCCTTTATGCTCTTCGTTTCCCTGCCTTCTGATTTCTCTGGACCCTCACCCCTTCCGAGAGCCAGTGGTCAGACTCCATTTCACCTGTGGCCAACAGGTGCACTCTCTGAGGCTCCAAGGGAAGGGGCTGCGCTCCACCTCTCTGCCCCATTTCTTCTGTGTATGCCCCTAGAAGAATGCTCACATCTTGCCCTCAGGTGGCATTTTTCAAGTCCGCTGGAGCTAGTGCCCAGGAGAAGCAGGCACAGTTACAAGAGCAGGTGAAAGAGCAGAGGGTGTGCTGCCAGCGCCTGGCTCACCCGGTGGCCTCGGCCCAGAAGGAGCCAGAGGCAGCCAGAGGCCCTGGAGCCCCAGGGCCTGGGGGCGAGTCTGTGAGTGGGGAGACCCACTGGGCCCTGCAGGAAGTCACGGAGAAGCTGGCCCATGCCAGGACTCACCTCCACCTTCTCCATGACTTGAAAATGCCACCTGAGGGCAGGTCGCTGCCGAGATGTGACTGCAATATTTTGGCTCCAGAGCAGCTTTATGGACCACCTGGAGGAGAAGGCAGACCTGAGTGAGCTGGTGAAGAAAAAAGAACTCTGCTTCATCCACCACTGGCGAGACAGATGCCATCAGTGAGTGGGAGGCCAGGGCACGGCAGGGGGAGCTACAGGGCCGTCGGAGGGGCCCCAGCGTCTGAGCCCTGTCCTCCCGCAGGAAAACCCATCACCTTTTATCAGAACCAGGGGGCCGTGCCAAAGATGCGGCACTGGGAGGAGGACACCATCAGGCTGGAGCTCAGGGAGGAGATGAAGGTAGGGTGTGCAACATCTCTGTGGGGGTGGGGGTGGGGGTGGGTGTGAGGGTGGGCGCAGGCAGCGGCATGGCAGCTGAGCACCCCTCCCTCCAGGTGAAGCTGCTGGAGCTGCAGCAGATGGTATTGCGGCTTACAGCAACTACAACAATGGGCACAGAAAATTCCTGGCCGCTGCCCACAACTCTGCTGATGAGCCCGGTCCAGGAGCCCCAGCCCCCCAGGAGCTTGGGGCTGCAGACAAGCATGGTGGTGAGTAGAGCCCTCAGGTGGGGTGGGCAGGCAGGAAGAGGGGGCTCCCACTGTGCTCAGATCCCTGCCTCCCTCTCTCCAAAGATCTTTGTGAGGTGAGCCTCACCTCCTCTGCCCAAGGAGAGGCCAGGGAGGATCCTCTCCTTGACAAGCCTACTGCACAGCCGATCGTGCAGGACCACCAGGAGCACCCAGGCTTGGGCAGCAACTGCTGTGTGCCATTGTTGTGCTGGGCTTGGCTGCCAAGAAGAAGGAGATAAACATCACCATCCTCAAAGAGCTGCTCAAGAAATTTTTAAATAAGAAACCAAGTTATGGGGTTAATCTCCTACACAATTCATTTACTTCCTTTGAATGTTAGAGTCACTCATGATTATTTGTTTTTCTAATTTATAGTTTTAAGTTTATTTGTAAAAAGTTAAAAGAGAGTGGGTGTCTGTGGCTCTCACTGATGTTCACTCTGGCATCCTTTAGCATTTTTCTTTTTTAATTTCATAATTGTAGGTCATTAGCGTGCATATCGAGTTTGCCCTTACGTGGTGGGAGTTCAAACACACAAAGACCCACTCTTTGCCCAAAACTGTTCTCTTTGGTTTGGAATAGGCTGCCATGCTTTTTTAATGTTATTGCAGCATGTACATTCACTACAGAATTCAGACAAAATTTGCCTATGTTCTGCTGTTGTTTGATCTAATCTTAATCACAGTGAGCTCTTCATTAGCTCAATATGTAGTTTGCCCCCAAGTGTGCACTGTTTATTACTTTGTAATATGCCACTATGAGTACTGACATTTAGAGTTGTTTAAAGGCCAAGAACTGGAAACAGCCTTTCCTCCATTTTCTGTGTATTGGTGATGGGAGTGATAACCTTTTGGGGGAGCTTTTTAAATCTCACAGAAGAGGAAAGTGGCCTCCTCTGGCAGGTACGTGCAGGATAGAGTGTGTTTCATCTGTTCCGGTGCCAGGAATTAGCAGTGTATTATGGTGGTTCCCTTAGGATTTGTATGTGCTCTGGGCTCATGAAGATACTGCATCATGAGCTGCAGCAGTTGCACTCTTTTTCGATGACCTAAAAAGGGCTTATTTCTGAGGAATGAAAGGTTCCCATCATTGACTGTGGATGTGGAAATCCTTTCCTAGCTTAGAGCATTTGTATCTACAATACATTTTAAAGTCAGAGTTCATGTTACCTGTTTTAATCACATGACTACATGTCCCAGTACACAAAAGGGCACTGGTTGGCATTCTTCTTAATGTATTTAGTGAAGATCATAAGAAATCCTTTATGAGTTCAAACGTCCCTGGAACAGGCATACAGGCTCTAGTCAAGAATGAATTAGAGTGAAGGAAAGCTGTGTGACACCTGGCATTCCTCTCTGTTCACGGAGATTCTTTGAGGCTTGAAGATTGATTTTACCATCTAGACCTCTTTGGCTAATACCTATTCTTCAACCACCTTGGTTACTCTGACATAGGAATTTACTTCTTTTTCCTTGAATGGACAACACTTTAAAAAATAATAGAAACATTATTATAAACTAATATATGTGAGATACTTAGTTGAAACAAAAAGGAGTTTTAGTAGACGGTATTGTACTCTCTTTGAAAATCAAGGAGAAGTTTATGAAACTTAAAATGTGTACAAACTGCAGTGCAATCTACTGTTCGTGAATGTCAATGTATTATCAGGAAACGTGTCTATACAATCACAGAGCTATATTTTCTCACAGACTTCTTTACAAAGTGAAATATGTTTTTGTACCTCTGGGTTTCTGTTCGGGACATATTTTGTGCGATATTTATGTGATTGTGCCTATGCATGATGAATGAATGCATTTCAGTTGTATATTGCCTAAATCGTAACTTGATGATGCTTGGGAAAGACTCAACAGTTCAAACTTCATGAAGTTCTAATGTCTGTGTTCCAAAACACATCACATTGTTAGGATGCAGGGAGATAGGTGTGTGTGCTCCCTGCGGTGGGGATTTCTAGTTACTAGATCATCTCCATTTTTAGCATTTGGCATCCTCATGATACTTCTATAAATATGACATTAACAGGAGAGCAACAATACGATTTTACCGATGGAATAACAGATTTGCTGGCATTCACTGAAAGAGTGCAAATATTCGGTCCTTGTGACTTCCACTGACTCTTCCAAATTTTATGAATGTATCAATGTATTAGATAAACCCAGTTTCAGAATGATAAAGAAAAAATCTTAGACCAAATAATGCGGCTAATTAACAGTGGTACGAATTGTAGCCCGTGGGTTTAAAATGCACTTAAAGTCCTGTTCTCGCCTTTTATTTTCTGAACTTGCCGCTTTTGCATTCTTTGAGTTCAGTTTAAAGACAGTTACTTTAAGAGCATTTTAAACCCTCGGGCTAGAAATCGGACCACTGTTAATCAGCCACATTATTTGGTCTAACGTTTTTTCTTTTATCATTCTGAAACTGGGTTTATCTAATACATTGATAAATTATTGCAAAGGTACTTTTATCGTTGAAATCACTTCACTTTTACCCTGATAAATATCAGTGACTAGAATGACCTTCGGATAGTGTTTAGCATCTGTAACCAATCTGACAATAATGTGTTCATGAGGTGCCTATGGATTAAATCACACACTGGCATATTTAAGCTGAAGGTCAGTCTGGAAAATAAATTTACTATATTGACTGAAATACCACTCTTTGTGTAGGTATTTGTCATATATTTAAGAAAAAGCTAAAAAGAATGGAAATTGTATGACAATAACTCAAGTCTTTCTCCAAAGTGCATGCAGTCTTTTGCGATACCTCATTCAGCCGAGTATTTGTGCTCTTCCTCATTCAGTATAAGGCAGCTTTCAGTTTGCTTAGAAGGCAACATTGGAATGTTAGAGTTCATCAGAAACATAGAATTTTAAACTGTGAGTTCCACTGAATACATTTTAATTTCTGTAGGAAGAATCAAAACACCTATTTAAAGATGGCAATATATAATAATCATTTTAAAAGTATTTGATTAAACCTGATAATTTTCCAGAAATGAAAAAAAAAATCAGCTCTAAAACCAAAGCTGATTTTAGAAAATTTGAAAATGTAAATCAGCCCTATCCATAATATAGTTTCTCTAAAACTTTATTTTAAAGAGTCATTTTAAAATAATATAACTATTAAAAAATGTAACTGCTATCTTAATGTTCTGAAATAATTTAAAACATTTTAAA
The DNA here is from genome assembly GCF_000001405.40 of Homo sapiens. NCBI lineage: Eukaryota > Metazoa > Chordata > Mammalia > Primates > Hominidae > Homo > Homo sapiens. Next base: position 1,911,047 of record NW_012132920.1, on the reverse strand, counting down.
ATATGAATACTGTAGTATAAAAGAAAGAAATGGTGGGAACGAAAAGCAGAGAAAGAAATGCCAATTCCAGTCCAAAGTTTTATTTGCCAAGTTTTCTTAGAATGAATTTTACCAGTTTATGAATTATTGTAAACAGAATGTGTCATGGAAATACTGAAAGATTTTTCCCTAGAGTGGCCTTATTGACTGCTGGTGTGATGCCACTGTAATGTAATAAATTATTAAATTGTTTCTAAGTGTTGTTTTTGCCTTAAAATTTTATTTTGCGTTTCTTCAAAACTATAGTTTTAAAGGTATTGATACTGTGCAAATGCTGGGCATGCTTGGCACGAGATAATGTGTTTCATTTTTACAAAGTTGTAATATAACTATGCAAGTGTTTCTTAAAAGAACACAAGATTTAATAAGTTATGGGATTAAAAAAAGTTATGGGGTGAAAACGTTATGGGATAAAAAATGTAAAAACGTTGTGGCAAAAAAACTTCTGGGAAAAAAGTAGAAAACAGTATTATGAAAAGTTACAAAAAAAGTTATGAAAAAGAAGTTACGGGATTTTTTTTTAAAAAGTCATGGAATAAAAATAAAATGAGAATCATAAGAGAATCATTGAGAATCATAAAAATGCAGATTCTGATTCAGTAGGTCTAGGGTGGGGCCTGAGTTACTTCTTTTTTTTGTTTTAGACAGAGTCTTGCTCTGTGGCCCAGGCTGGAGTGCAGTGGCGTGATCTCCGCTCACGCAAGCTCCGCCTCCCGGGTTCACGCCATTCTCCTGCCTCAGCCTCCCAGGAGTAGCTGGGACTATAGGCGCCCGCCACCACGCCCGGCTAATTTTTTTGTATTTTTTAGTAGAGACGGGGTTTCACTGTGTTAGCCAGGATGGTCTCGATCTCCTGACCTCGTGATCCACCCTCCTCGGCTTCCCAAAGTGCGGGGATTACAGGCGTGAGCCACTGCGCCCGGCCCTGAGTTACTTCCTTTCATGCACCACATAGCAATGTTTCGGTCAACAGTGGACTACATATATATCTATCACTGTCTTCCACCTCCACATTCTGTCCTACTGGAAGGTCTTCAGGTGCAATAACACACAAGGAGCTATCATCTCCTATGATAACAAGGCTTTTTTCTGGAATAGCTCCCCACAGACCACCACAAATATGTGATGTGAGTAATGCACTGTGCTACAGTGATGCTATACGTCAACAACATCACTAGGCAATAGGAACATTCCAACTCCATTATAATCTTTTTTTTTTTTTTTTTTTTTTTTTTATTGAAACAGACTCTTGCTCTGTCGCCCAGGTTGGAGTGCAGTGGCACGATCTGGGCTCACTGCAAGCTCCGCCTCCCGGGTTCACGCCATTCTCCTGCCTCACAGCTTCCCGAGTAGTTGGGACTACACGCGCCCACCACCACACCTGGCTAATTTTTTTCTATTTTTTAGTAGAGACGGGGTTTCACCGTGTTAGCCAGGATGGTCTCAATCTCCTGACTTCGTGAGCTGCCTGCCTTGGCCTCCCAAAGTGCTGGCATTACAGGCATGAGCCACTGCGCCAGGCCCCAACTCCATTATAATCTTATGGGACCAGTGGATATAGATGATCCTGACCCTGCCTAGGCCTAGGCTAATGTGTGAGTTTGTATCTTCATTTTGGTTTTGTTTGGTTTTGAGACAGGGTCTCGCTCTATCGCCCAGGCTGGAGTGCAGTGGTGCGATCTCAGCTCATTGCAACCTCTGCTCCCCAGGTTCAAGCAATCCTTCCACCTCAGCCTCCCAAGTAGCTGAGACTATAGGTGTGTGCCACTATGCCTGGCTATTTTTCATATTTTTTTGTAAAGGCGGGGTTTCGTCATGTTGTCCAGGCTGGTCTCAAACACCTGGACTCCAGCAATCCACCTGCCTCGGCCTCCCAATGTGCTGGGATTATAGGTGTGAGCCACCACGCCCAGCCATGTCTTGGTTTTTAACAAAAAAGTTTAAAATTAAAAAAAAATAGAAAAAAATCTTACCGAATATGGATAGAAAGAAAATATTTTTGTACAGCTGTACAATGTGTTTGTGTTTTGAGCTATTACTACAAAAGAGTCAAAAGTTAAGAAAATTTAAAAGCTGATGAAATTAAAAAGTTATAGTAAGCTAACCTTAATTTATTACTGAAGGAAAAAATTTTAATAAACTTAATGTAGCCTAAGTATATGCTGTTTATAAAGTCTATAACAATGTACAGTAAGGTCCTAGGCCTTCACATTCACTCACCACTCACTGACTCACCCAGAGCAACTTCCAGTCCTGCAAGCTCCACTCGTAAGTACCCTACGCAGGTAAAATTTTAAATCTGTGGCCGGTCGCAGCGGCTCACACCTGTAATTCCAGCACTTTGGGAGGCCGAGGTGGGTGGATCACAAGGTCAAGAGATCAAGACCACCCTGGCCAACATGGCGAAACGCCATCTCTACTAAAAATACAAAAATTAGCTGGGCGTGGTGGTGCACGCCTATAGTCCTAGCTACTCGGGAGGCTGAGGTCGGAGAATCGCTTGAACCCGGGAGACAGAGGTTGCAGTGAGCTGAGATTGTGCCACTGCACTCCAGCCTGGTGACAGTGCAAGACTCCATCTCAAAAAAGAAAAAAAAAAAAAAGAAAAAAATTTAAATGTTATATCACAAATTTTAAATCTGTTAAGATACATAAAATACTTGGTATTGTGTTACAATTGCCTACAGTATTCAGTACAGTAATCTGCTGTACAGGTTTGTGGCCTAGGAGCAATAGATTATATCACATAACTAGGTGTGTGTGTAGTCAGCTACACCATCTAGGTTGATGTAAGTACACTCTATGATGTTTGCAGAATGACAAAATTGCCTAACAATGCATTTCTCAGAAGGTATCTCTGTCATTAAGAGACACATGGCTATAGTTTCCAGGCGATACCTATGCCGTATTTGAATAGCAAGGCTCTAGTTTAGAGCACTGTTTAGGGAAATCCATTGGCCCTGTATCTTAAGTTGGGTTGCCTGAAAAACAGGTACTGAGATGGAGATTTCCCCACAGGAGGCTTACTTGGGAAGGCTCTTGGAACAACACAAGTAAAGGAGTAAAAGAAACAGGATTGGGCAGCCTGTGAAACAGTTGCCACCATCTCAGCTGCTCCTTCAGGAAGCTCTAGAGCTGGGAAGTCCTTCCGTTGTCTTGAGATATGGGGGCCAGGCCTATGAAACCCCATATTAACCAGGCACGGAACGTAGACTGCCCAGGGGAAGGCATCACTTGGGGTGAGGCAGGTCCTTTTCATGGAGCAGCTCTCAGAGGGGGACTTTGTTGTGAGCCATGAGGAACCAACACTTCTGCAAGTGGGGCGAGTGAGCACCTCAGCCTGGAGGGGGATCTAGGTGAAGCACCACAGTGTCTACTATTCTGGTGATAGCCCAGTGACCTCAGGAAATCACTGTACTATTTTCCATCTTAGTCCACATTTAGGACAGAATATGATAGACATTTCTGTTTTATTAATAAATGGAACAATGTGGCCGGGCGCGGTGGCTCACGCCTGTAATCCCAACACTTTGGGAGGCTGAGGCGGGCGGATCACGAGGTCAGGAGATCAAGACCATCCTGGCTAACACGGTGAAACCCCGTCTCTACTAAAAATACAAAAATTAGCCGGGCGTGGCGGCATGCGCCTATAGTCCCAGCTACTCGGGAGGCTGAGGCAGGAGAATGGTGTGAACCCGGGAGGCAGAGCTTGCAGTGAGCCGAGATCACACCACTGCACTCCAGCCTGGGGGACAGAGCGAGACTCCGTCTCAAATAAATAAATAAATAAATGGAACAATGTGTCTGTGGAATGTGCCAGGCCCTAGAGGCAGTGATTCTAGGAACAATCATTTTGGTTTTACAGAAAAAAACTCGGACCTAATTTGAAAGTTGCACAAATCATCTTATTTCCAGCAGGGATGCAGGTAAAAGGTTCAGGAAGGCCCTTTGGCAGACACTTTATGGACTGATTTCACAGAAATGAGGGTTAGGTGAACTAACATCTAAGGAAAAGGATGTGTGCCATCTAGTGGCACTAAAAGCAAAGCCTAATGCTTAACGAAAGATTTCCCTTTTCATCGTCAGGGAACTCAGTGAGGTTTTCAGTAGTGTTTTCCTACTTTTAGAAGTAGGTGTGGGAGTTCACTAAATGAAATAAAATTACAATATCTACAGCTGGATAGCTGTGTGGGGTAACACATAAAATTGGATCCATTCTTTCTACACTGGATAAATTCCAAATTTAAGGACCGGGCGCGGTGCCTCACGCCTGTAATTCCAGCACTTTGGGAGGCAGAGGCAGGCAGATCACCTAAGGTCAGGAGTTCAAGACCAGCCTGGCCAATATGGTGAAACCTCGTCTCTACTAAAAACACAAAAATTAGCCAGGTGTGGTGGCATGCACCTGTAGTCTCAGCTACTCAGGAGGCTGAGACAGGAGAATCATCTGAACCCGGGAGGTGAAGGTTGCAGTGAGCAGAGGTCGCATCACTGCACTCCAGCCTCAGAGATCTAACATTAACAAATGAAAACATAGCAGTACTAGAAAATTAAGTACTAGAATTCACAAGAGTGAATACCTTTATAACTCAGAAGTGGGGAAAATACTCCTATCTATAATCAGAATCCAGAAGCATTAAGGGAAGAGATTAACTATAATTTAAACAAACAAAAAAGCAAGGCAAAAAGTCTAAAAAATATATGCAGCTTATATCATGAGGGACTAATATATAAAAAGCTTCTAAAATATTTTTAAAGACCATCCTGAAAGTAAAAGATGGACAATTTAAATAAAAAGAAGTACAAATAGCCCTTAAACAGGTGAAAAGATTGATTTATTGCACTTTGTTTTCCATTTTAGGAGTTGCTTTTACATTTTATTTTATTTTATTTATTATTATTTTGTTTAGATGGAGTCTCACTGTGTCACCCAGGCTGAAGTGCAGTGGCCGGATCTTGGCTCACTGCAACCTCCGCCTCCCAGGTTCAAGCGATTCTCCTGTCTCAGCCTCCCAAGTAGCTGGGATTACAGGCATGCATCACCACGCATGGCTAATCTTTGTATTTTTAGTAGAGACGGGGTTTCACCACGTTGGCCAGGCTGGTCTCGAACTCCTGACCTCAGGTGATCCGCTCACCTCGGCCTCCCAATGTGCTGGGATTACAGGCGTGAGCCACCACCTTATTTTGGCCTTATTTTGTATTTTAAACATGTTACACATTTACAGGGTTCCAAGTTTATATATAAAACAAGATATATTCAGAGAGGTCTAGCTTCCATTCCTATTTTCTACTTCACCTGTTCTTGATCTTCTCCTATTGTTTACCATTTTTATTAGATTTTGGTTTACCTTTCTATTGTTTATTTTTGAAAATATAAGTAAGTATCCATTTGTATATGTATCTCTACCACCCCGTATACCAAAGGCAGCATACTATATACACTCTTTTATGCATTGCTTTTTCACTTCACTTCACATCATAGTCATATATCTTCCACATTCCTTAACAGCTTCATAATACTTTGTCGTATGCATGCATCATTTGAAAAAATGTTCCACTTCATTGACAAAAAGATAAATACAAAACTATACTGAAGGCTGGGCGCAGTCGCTCATGCCTGTAAACTCAGCACTTTGCGAGGCCGAGGTGAGTGGATAGGTTGAGGTCAGGAGTTCGAGACCAGCCTGGCCAACATGGCGAAACCCTGTCTCTACTAAAATTACAAAAATTAGCCAGGCGTGGTGGTGATTGCCTGTGGTCCCAGCTACTCAGGAGGTTGAGGCAGGAGAATCACTTGAACCTGGGAGGCAGAAGTTGCAGTGAGCCAAGATAGAGCCACTGAACTCCAGCCTGGGCAACAGAGTGAGACTCCGTCTCAAAAAAAAAAAAAACTACACTTTGATAACATTTCCCACATATCGATTTAGCAAACATCTAGGAGTTTGACAATTCATTCTATTGGAGAGGCTGCAGAGAAACAGGAAATGCTGCTGGTGTGAATACAAAACTGCACAACCCCTATGAAGGGGAATTTGGCAGAATTAAACAAAATAACATGTTCTTTTACCCTTTGACCTAACAATCCCATTTATAGAAATCTATGCTAAAGACCCACTGGCAAAAGCATATTATATATGCACAAGGAAACTTTTGTATAGCAAAAGACTGGGAATAGTCCACATATCCACTAGTAAGGGCCTGGCTAAATAAACTACAGTACATCCATATATAACCAAAAAGAATAATTATGCCCAGTTCATTTAAAACACAGTATCTTGATTTTACATCCTTAGTTGGATACAATTTTAGAAAAAAGGAAGTACATGCAAAGTTAAACTTCATTTATCTGTTAGCAATATCTCTATTGTTATTCTGTTTTTATTCTTTATCCTGTTATTGCTATTGTTGTTTTTACATACCTGTGAATATAGGTAGATGAAGCAAATAACCATTATGTTACTATTAATATTTATTAATAGTAACATTAATAATAATTAAGGCAATGAAAAGAACCAATATTTTCATTGCCTCCTTGTGTGTAGGAAAAAAGAACCAATATTTTCATCTTAAGAGAAAGGAAGGGCCGGATGTGGTGGCTCACACCTGTAATCCCAGCACTTTGGGAGGCCGAGGCGGGTGGATCACGAGGTCAGGAGTTCAGGACCAGCCTGGCCAAAATGGTGAAACACCGTCTCTACTAAACATACAAAAATTAGCCGGGCCTGCTGGCAGACGCCTGTAATCCCAGCTGCTTGGGAGGCTGAGGCAGAGAACTGCTTGAACGTGGGAGGTGGAGTTTGCAGTGAGCCGAAATTGTGCAACTGCACTCCAGCCTGGGCGACAGAGCGAGACTCCGTCACAAAAAAAAAAAAAAAAAAAAAAAAAAAAAAGAGAAAGGAGACGAAAAACAAAAAGAGCTCAGCTTTAAAAAAGGATTATGACGTAGAAAAAGACACAACACTGAAGATTGTCATGGGTCTTTAAGAAAAGGAAATTTGAGACGGCTAAAACGCAGAACAGTGTGGAGTTTGGGGAAGAGATGTGGCTAAAGACAGCGTAAGCAATTTTTTAAAGTTATGTCTGAAGCAAGAAGAAAAGACAAGGAATAGGTTCAGTTTCATCTCTGATACACTGTTTCTTGTTAAAATTGATGTTTTTTTCTGCAGGCATTTGCTTCCTGAATGATGGTCCCACTCAGCCATCCACCTATACTTTCTACAAAGTCAATTTATACTGATTCTTCAGATCAGTTAATCACTGGTACGTTTCCCCTCCCCGGTCAAGGATCTTTTATTATACGCTATCATAGAATCATATTCCTTTCCTTAGCGCACTTCTCTCAACTGATAAGTGCCGCCATTAATGTACTTACTTGATAAATATATGCCTGCCTTTCCTCTTCCAGGGCCGAAACTGTGCCTGGTTTTGCTCATCATTCTACAGTATATAGCACGAGTTCAATAAACAGTTGTTAAAGCAACATATTTAACTTACATTTTGTTCCCATCTCTTCACTCAGAGACTTTTCTTTGGATTGGGAAGGGTAAAATATCCGAAGATTTGAACTCCAAAAGAAACAAAATGATTCTATGCAAACGTTTCCTACTTAAAACTCATTCATTGGGCAAATATTCACTTAGTCCCTGGCACTATTTGGTAATAGGAATACAGGAGTGCATATGGCAGATAAAGTTCTGTTGCTGCCCTTACCAAGTTTCGTGGGGGTGAGATGTGGTGTTAGTAAATGCATACTATTTTGTCTGTATTTAAATCGAGTCCAAATCTCTCGCTCTACAGCCCGCCTTGGGATGTTTCTTATATCCCAAGAAACAGAATATTTTGATGGGATCGCTGATGTTTCAGACTGCAAAAGCAGCTCAGGGCGTTTGCAGTCGTGCAAGTCAACAAGATAACCGTCTGGACCGGAAGCTGGGCTCCTCCCGGTCTCCTAACTCCAAATCCAACACCAAGCTTCTGCAGCTGCCACCTCCCGTAGACTTCGCATTTCTTCCGCACTCTCCTCTCACGACGGGTCTTCTTTGTTGTACTTAATTTCCTACGCAATAAGATTTCAGCATCACCATCAGTCCCGCAAAGACTAATTCCCACAGAGCCGAAGTTCCCACCAAAGGCCGAGGGTTAAGGTTACTAAAATCAGCGTTTCTGAATCCTGTCTCAAGTTGTCTCAACTGGGCTTCCGTAGAACGGTTTCTTCGTAAGAGGGCCTTCAGCGACAGCCGAGCTCGGAAAAGAACGGGAATAAGTTGTCTCTTACATTTCCTCAAATACTGTGAATGGTCTGAGGCGCAGGTCAGGTGTATTTAAAAACCTTTAAACAGTATTCCCCCGCCCCAAAAACTGGCCTTGAAGGAACAAGTGAAACTCATCCTGCTTTTCATGTTTGCTGGGTTTGCCCGTTACACCCCTTCGCCCGCACCTATCTAGACAGGCAGCTCTCGGCCACCCTCCGGGGTCCTGATTTTGAAAAGAGGAGTGGACCAATCAGATGTGGAGCGCTGTTTGGCGCTGCCATTTGAGCCTGGGCTGAAACTGCGGGTGTGACCCCCCCGTGGTGGCTCCGGGTGTCTGCAGTGGAGCTGGGGGCGGAAGCATGAGGCTAACGGCTTGGCTTCAGTGAACGCACCGGGATGTGCAGGCCGGGAGGTAGAGGCAGGCTGATGGGGGAGGGAACGAGCAGCCTGTGAGACGGGGTGACGGCGGCTACCAGCCCGGGCGGGCACCGGGACTGGAAGAGTTGCCTGAGCAGCCGGCTGGTCCGGCGGCCAGGCTAGGGCGGGGGCGAGCGCCCAGTTGAGCCTGCTGGGGCTGGAGGAGCGAGAAGGGTTCTCTTCACATTTCAGAGCGAACCAGACGGACAGTAAGGTTTGGAGGAAGGGGGATCGTTGGAAGTAGCAGGAAGTGGAGAGAATCTGGCAATAGGCGAGAAACCGAAAGAATCAGAAAGAAGTCTATGTGAGTAGCTGAAAGCATTGGGTGACCAGAAAGAAGGTCGCTGTAAGTGAAGGAAGAGTGAGGTGTGGCTGGATCAAAGGGCTAAGAGAAGCGGGTCTGTGTAAGTGGATGTGAGTGAGGATCAAGGAAAAGCCGTGGAAGTGGCCGGGGGTCGGGGCCGCAGAAGTGCCAGACGGGGCCGGAAAGCAGCCGAGCGGAGTTCAAATTTGAGAGCGTTTGGAAATTGGAAGACTTGGTGGCGAACGAGGGTCAGGACCTGCATCCTGCCTCAGAGTTATCGACGTATCCGGAATGTGGGATCAGAGGCTGGTGAAGTTGGCCCTGTTGCAGCATCTGCGGGCCTTCTATGGTATTAAGGTGAAGGGTGTCCGTGGGCAGTGCGATCGCAGGAGACATGAAACAGCAGCCACGGAAATAGGGGTAAGTTCTGTGAAAAGGGATTTAGGTTTAAAAGAAAGGGCACACCCTTTATCATCACTTATTAGCAGATCGTGCTAAAATGTTCACTCTGTGTATCAAAAAGAATGGTTAGGTGTGTAATTCAGTTCAGATGATCGATTGCTGATATTTAAAAAGTGACATTCTTGTTTTTTTTTTCCCCAAGGATTTTTGATCATTGAGAGAAAGTTGCAGGATTTTCCAACTTCAGCACTATTGACATTTTGGATTAGATAATTTTTGTTAGGGGAAGACGAAATGCTGTTCTGTGAATTGTGGGATGTTTAGCGGGATGTCTGTCTTTTACCCACTAGATGCTGGTAGCATCTCTCAGTTGTGACGATTAAAAATGTCTCCGGATATTGCCAGCTTACTGTATTTGGAACAGGTAGTACGTTGGGAGGGACAAAAACTCTACCCCTCCACCCTTGTTTTAGAGTAAGGTTGTAGAGGGACAAGGGAGACCAGTGCATTTTCTACATGAATCTGTAGATGAAGTATGACAGAACATTAGAAATAGGCTTCAAATGATGACTGCATATTCACTAATTTGGGAAACAGATTTGCTGCTTGGCCATATCATACTTTTGGGACAGCAATTTTTTTTTTTGTATGAGTAAATTGAGAAGCCAGAGTGGAATAATTGAGAAGTTGTTGATGTTTTGGTGGTTGAAATAAAGGGATTTTGAATGAGATTTTAATAGCTCTGCCACATAATCAGGAATTGCATTGTGAAAAATAAGCTGAATGTAAAGCATTTTATTTTAAATTTATGTGCCTAATTTATATGGTACTTCCTAGTACTTGGAGACAAGCTAATAAAGTTAATATACGTTGCTTTTAATAGTTTATGGTTTCTAAAAAAAAGTGCTTGGAGAAGAAAACCACTAACAAAAGTAATATGTGTGTCTCTTAATCGCTGATAAACTTTGGAGAAGTTATTTTTGTTGGTAGCAAATTAATGGCAATACATGTACTTACATTTAAAAAGCTACAGTGATTTTTTTCTGATTGTAAAACTGGCTTTCCAAGATCTCAAATGTAGCTGATTTTGTAAGTATATGGAAGAGTTTGTATATGGACTTTTTTTCACCCCTTTTCTTTTCTTTTCCTTTTTTTTTTTTTGTTTTTGAGATGGAGTCTCCCTCTGTCGCCCAGGCTGGAGTGCAGTGGCGCGATCTTGGCTCACTGCAAGCTCCGCCTCCCGGGTTCACGCCATTCTCCTGCCTCAGCTTCCCGAGTAGCTGGAACTACAGGCGTCCGCCACCACACCTGGCTAATTTTTTGTATTTTTTAGTAGAGACGGGGTTTCACTGTGTTAGCCAGGATGGTCTCGATCTCCTGCCCTCGTGATCCGCCCGCCTCGGCCTCCCAAAGTGGTGGGATTGCAGGCGTGAGCCACTGCACCTGTCCTTTTCACCCCTTAACAAGAAAAACTGTTGCCTGTTTTCAGAGTCGGATAGACCTGAGTTTGAGTGCTGTTCCACCCCTACTACATCTGTAAACTTGGGCTGCTTGTTTGATTTCCCTAAGCTTCAGTTTTATATCTATAAAGTGGGAACGTATTTCTCCTTGGATTATTTAGGGATTTTTAAAAAGTGAAGCTCTTTATGTAGGCCTAGCACAGTGCGTGTCACATGCCACTTCATCTAATGATAGTTGTCATATCATTGGTCTGCCTCCTAATTGGTAATCACGCCATATAAATTCAGCTAGAAACACTTATAAGAATATTCTAATGAAGAAATGTAGAAGATCATTGTGTTATGAGATCTAATGGGATAGTTTGTTTGAAAACAATTTCTTTAGCCGACTGGTGTTTGTTAGCTAACTGTAGTTTTAAGTTTTAAAAACATTTTATGAGATTAAATTTTAGTGGTTACTTGTGAAGCCAGTTATTCTAAATAATAAGACTTAAGGAAAAAAACACGCTGAATTCTAGTTATATATAACAGAAGTAGACTTACCAGCCTAAGTATCTGGTTTATTTTTACATTTGGTTTGGCTGCACAGTATCAAGAAAATTCTGATTTACCCAATAAAGGGGTTGCCCATACTAACATTTTTTTAAATAGTTCAGCTTAAAATGATGATCATAAGATTAACAAATATTTTTTGAATGCTTACTGTGTGTCAGACACTGATACAAGTGTTTTGTATGTTTTAATTTATTTAATTCTTCCTACACCTCTATGACTTAGGATCTGTGTGAGGATACCGAGGAACAGAATGTTAATTTGATCCAGGTCACTCAGCTGTTAAGTACAAGAGTTAAGATGTAAAACCTGGCATTTTTGTGGGTGCGATGGCTCACGCCTGTAATCCCAGCATTTTGGGAGGCCGAGGAGGGTGGATCACGAGGTCAGGAGATCGAGACCATCCTAGCTAACACGGTGAACCCCCCCCGCCCCACGTCTCTATTAAAAATACAAAAAAATTAGCTGGGCGTGGTGGCGGGCGCCTGTAGTCCCAGCTACTCGGGAAGCTGAGGCAGGAGAATGGGTGAACCCGGGAGGCGGAGCTTGCAGTGAGCCGAGATTGTGCCACTGCACTCCAGCCTGGGCCACAAAGTGAGACTCCGTCTCAAAAAAAATACACCTGTCATTTTTGCCTTCAGGAGCCTACTCTCTTAAGCCCTTACCATACTATACTGTCTTTTCAGCTTACAATATTTGTAAATTAATTGGAGCCAGGTGCTTGAAAGGGAATTAGTAAAATTTTGTTACTGTGTTGCGTCATTGACAATGCTGAGTGATTTTTATTGTAAAGTTAAATATAATGCTCATAAAACATAAATGCTTCTTGGTTGATAACTTGTGACATCAAAAAAAGTACTTCAGCATTCACAGAGCAGATGCATGTAAACTAAATTAACATGTGAGATTATGCATACCCACTTAAGTTTGAATAACCAGACATTTACAGGCTTGAATTTGCCTTTCAGTGCTGTGGAAAGCGACACATTTTTAAGAGGTTCGAATGCACGCACAAAGATAGTGGCAGATTCTTTATTCTTCAGTGTGCAAAAACATTCAAGTTAACCAACAAACAACTTTACTCTTGGGATCTTCAGTGTATTAAAATTTGAATGTGAGGTTTTAAAAATGGGTTTCCAGCTAGTTAAATGAAGTTTGACTTAAATATTTGCACACTCCTGCCTTGCTTACCGCAGGGCATGGTTTGAAAAGCACTCTTCTATAGAAGGTGGAAAATGTATTAGGTATAAAAATAACCTCTTCTGATGTAATTTTAGGAAGACTCAATGAATGACAGGAATTAGTGTTTTGCTTTTCAATTGACTTAGTCTTTTGTGTAAGTATTTATAAGGTGACCAAAAGAAAGTATCTAGTAAGTATTTATAAGATCATTAAAGCAACCTATAGTGTTTTGGGGTAAATGTTAGTGTTTTGGACCAAATTCTGTTTTAAGAATTTACTGACTAACCACTAACCAAATTGACTTTATGATCAGATTGGAAACTTGAGTTTACTAGATTATTTGAGGGGAATGACATTATCTTGGCCATCTTTGTACTCCCAGCACTCAGCATACTATCTAATATAGTAATTATTTGTTATCAAATGCACTTGAAATGATTATTTTTGTCTTGATTGATAGTTTATCATTTATTTCTGATTTTTTTTAATTTCCTGAGTTCTTTAATTTGCCTAAAGTTTAAGAAAACTGATATTATGCCTAATATTTGTGTTAGAGTAACTGAATTTGTCATTTTAGGGTAAAATATTTGGAGTACCTTTTAATGCACTGCCCCATTCTGCTGTACCAGAATATGGACACATTCCAAGGTAAGCAGAGTTTGAAATGAAGAAGGCCGGGTGCAGTGGCATATGCCTGTAACCCCAGCATTTTGAGAGGCCGAGGTGGGCAGATCACTTGAGTCCGGGAGCTTAAGACCAGCCTGGGCAACATGGTGAGACCTTGTCGCAAAAGATAGAAAAATTAGCTTGGCGGAGCACACTTGTAGTCCCAGCTACTCAGGGGGCTGGGGTGGGAGGATTGCTTGAGCCCAGGAGGTGGAGGCTGCAGTGAGCCTTCTAGCCAGGGAAATGAAGAAGAAGAGAGTAAGCATTTCAAACTGGTTTTAGAGAGTTTAAAAGAAATAGTTGATTAAAACATAATTGTTTCAAACCAGCAAATGATTTAATCTCTCATAATGTTAAAAATATTTTTTTAACTTTTACATATTTTAAATTTATAATTTGTACTCATTCCCAGGATTGAATTTTAAAGTCCAGTAATGAGTAAATGTTAGAAATCACAAAAAATTTTTGTTCTGTTAAGTCAGTTTTCAGTTCTATGTGAATTCTTTTGCCACAACTCAGATTAAGTAATATACTGAATTACCAATTCAGTAATAATTTTGCCTTTTTTTTGTTTGTTAAAAAAATATTGGCCAGGCACAGTAGCTCATGCCTATAATCCCAGCATTTTGAGGGCCGAGGCAGGAGGATCGCTTGAGCTCAGGATTTTGAGACCAGTCTGGGCAACAAAGCAAGACTCCATGTATAAAAAAAATTTTAAAGAAAAATCAGCTGGGCAAGGTGGTGTACACCCCTGTAGTCCCAGCTACTCCTGAAGCTGAGGCAGATGATTGTTTGACCCTAGGAGTTTGAGGCTGCAGTGAGCTATGCTCATTGCCACTGCACTCCAGCATTGGCAACAGAGTGAGACCCTGTCTCTTGAAAACAAATATTGGATAAAAGAATATTTAAGCTAAGATATTAGAGTGTTTGTGAAAATGTATTATGTATCACTTAGCTTTTCTATGCCACTTACTATTTATAAATAACCTTTTGTTCTTTTTTTTTTTTTTTTTGAGACAGAGTTTCGCTCTTGTCGCCCAGGCTGGAGTGCAATGGCGTGATCTCGGCTCACCGCAACCTTCACCTCCTGGGTTCAAGTGATTCTCCTGCCTCAGCCTCCCGAGTAGCTGGGATTACAGGTGTCCACCACCACACTTAGCTAATTTTTGTATTTTAGTAGAGATGGGGTTTCACCATGTTGGCCAGGCTGGTCTCAAACTCCTGACCTCAGGTGATCTACCTGCTTCAGCCTCCCAAAGTGCTAGGATTACAGGCGTGAGCCACTGTGCTGGCCTATTCTAACTGCATCAGAAATTACTAGGAAAGTTTATGTTTTAAGAATATAATTTAGCCGGGCGCGGGGGCTCACGCCTGTAATCCCAGCACTTTGGGAGGCCGAGGCGGGCAGATTACGAGGTCAGGAGATCCAGACCATCCTGGCTAACACGGTGAAACCCCGTCTCTACTAAAAATACAAAACATTAGCTGAGCGTGGTAGCACGCACCTGTAGTTCCAGCTACTCGGGAGGCTGAGGCAGGGGAATGGCATGAACCCAGGAGGCGGAGCTTGCAGTGAGCCAAAATTGTACCACTGCACTCCAGCCTGGGCGACAGAGTGAGACTCCGTCTCAAAAAAAAAAAAAAGAAAAAAAAAAGAATGTAATCTAAAAATGCATATGATGAAACTTATCCTTAATTCATTTCCCCTCCATCTAAAGTAGGGTTCATTTGGGCTACTATAGACCAATAATCTAGGTTTTAATTGACATGTCATCCAAAAGCAATTATCGAACACCTGGTTGCCTTAGGACAGTTTCCCCCCATTCATCCTATAGGTCTAGATTCACTGTCTTCTTAGGTAACCGCTTAACCATTTTGCTCTTTAAATGACCTATGAAAGGCTTGATTTTCTTATAATGAACACCTATAATGATTTTCAACAGGCCGGGCACAGGAGCTCATGCCTGTTATCCCAGCACTTAGGGAGGCCCAGGTGGTGGATTGCTTGAGCCCAGGAGTTCAAGACAAGCCTGGGCAACATGGTGAAACCTTGTCTCTACAAAAAATAGAAAAATTAGCTGGGCGTAGTGATGTGTGCCTATAGTCCCAGCTAGTCGGGAGGCTGAGGTGGGAGGATCACTTGCGCCCAGGAGGCAAAGGTTGCAGTGAGCAGTGATCGCACCACTCCAGCCTGGGTGACAGAGCGAGACACTGTCTCAAAAACTAAAAGAAAAAAAAAAAGCAGATTTTCGGCGTCTGGAATTGCAAAGTCATATTCCCAGGAATCATGACTAAATCTTCATTGCAATTTCATGACCTACTTTTTATTTAATTAAAAAGACTGTTTTGTCAGTTACCTTCTGTAAATAAGGCTGACATTCAGCCACTGTGCACCAATACAGCTGTATCAATTGTTGGTAGCCGATATTCATTCTAATTTGTGGGTCCCAGCTGTTCAATATCTAGGTATCTAAAGCCAACATTGAGATTTATTTGAACATTGTTCAAAATAAAGAAATTGAGCACATTCCCCTTAATATGAAAAGGCTTGTAAGGACTGGGATATATCCTACTTTTCTGAGGGATAATGTTGGGGTGAGGAAAAAAAACCTCGCCCTGTTTTTGGGTGATGTAGGAGATGAGAAAATCACCCATGAAGAGATAGTAGATAAAAGAAGGTGGCCTTGGACGGAGCCCTGGGTTGTTCCAGCATGTAGAGGTTTCACATAAGAGGAGTGAGAAAAGGAATTTGAGAAGGAGCAGGCAGGGAGATAGCAGGAAAACTAAAAGAGTAGTGAAAAAGTATTTTTGAGATGAACAGGGAAGGGATCAGGTGTGTCAAATGGTGATAGATCGAGCAATACGAGGACAACACACTGACCATGGATTTGGCAAGGCAGAGGCTGTTAGTGAGCTTGAAGAGAGCTATTTCTTTGGAGTAATGAGGTATGAGAATGATTGGATAGGGGTGAGTAGAGACTGAGATATGAAGAAGTAGAGGCAGAAAAAAAAGACAAGTCTTACGCTCTGAAGGGAAGCAGAAATGAAGTAGGATTGAGAAAGATAAAATTTAGTGTGCATATTGGAGTTGTTATAAGTAAAAAGATGGGCCTTGGAGAAGAATTTGGAAAGCAAGTAGACAACTAAAAGTAACATTTCATCTCAAAGACTACAGAGATTTGTGGCTTTAGAGCCTCTGAAAGGTCTGTAGTGCTTGGCCTGCTCATGTATGTTAGCAGAGGAATAGGATGTGATATGTATGTCTAGCCACCTGAAAAAATCTCTCTTTCAGCTTTCTTGTCGATGCTTGCACATCTTTAGAAGAACATATTCATACCGAAGGGCTTTTTCGGAAATCAGGATCTGTGATTCGCCTAAAAGCACTAAAGGTGAGCATATTGTTGAACTATAATTTTTCATTTGAGCCA
The DNA here is from genome assembly GCF_000001405.40 of Homo sapiens. Classification (NCBI taxonomy): domain Eukaryota; kingdom Metazoa; phylum Chordata; class Mammalia; order Primates; family Hominidae; genus Homo; species Homo sapiens. Next base: position 1,894,342 of record NW_012132920.1, on the reverse strand, counting down.
TTTTCTGATTTGGTTTTTAAAACTGAAATATTTAGAACTATTAATATGAATAGTTGACAGAAATTGAATTTGCATTTTTTTCATGGCAGAAGATTTTTTTTTTTCCAAAAGAAATGGTATATTATTTCTATCGTGCTTTAAAAATTTAATAGGGTACTTTTAAATTCATGGTCCTTATTTCTATCAAGTATTATGTAAAATGAAAAAATGTGTTAAGTTATATTGTTGTTAGCCTTCTAGAAGGAGTGATATAGCTGAGTGTGGTGGCACATGCTTGTAGTCCCAGCTACTTGGGAGGCTAAGGCAGGAAGATTGCTTGAGCCTGGGAGTTTGAAGCCAGCCCAGGCCACATAGTCTGTGCCACATTTCTATAAAAATAAAAATAAATTCAAAAATCATTAAAAATAAAGTAGTGACATATATTAAAATAAGAGTTAAGAGAAATTTATTAAAGAAAAGTGTAATTAGAGTATAACAAAAGATTCTTTATTTGCAATAAACTCTTAAGTTGCCAAAATACTCAAGATTATTATATTTATTTCAGAATAAAGTGGATCATGGTGAAGGTTGCCTATCTTCTGCACCTCCTTGTGATATTGCGGGACTTCTTAAGCAGTTTTTTAGGGAACTGCCAGAGCCCATTCTCCCAGCTGATTTGCATGAAGCACTTTTGAAAGCTCAACAGTTAGGCACAGAGGAAAAGAATAAAGCTATACTGTTGCTCTCCTGTCTTCTGGCTGACCACACAGTTCATGTATTAAGATACTTCTTTAACTTTCTCAGGAATGTTTCTCTTAGGTAAGTGGTAATTAAAACTCTTGGCAAATAATAGTTGAATTTTTCAACTAACGTTTTATGCTTGTAGATATGTACAATTTCATTTGGAATGGAAATTTTTCTTTAAAAATTCCATATTTCATTACTATGAGGAGTATACTCTAATTTAAGAAACAGCATACCAAATGATTTAATATTTCCTTATCTTAAAGTCATCATCATGAATGCCTTAATGGTTCATCATTGGTGTTTATAAGATTCATTGTCCACTGAAAGCCTTTGTTTACTGGGTTTTTAAAATATTTCTGTTTTGCTTTTCAAAATTTCCCTCTCCCTGCTGTCAGTGAGCCTGCTTATTCTAGACATACTTGCTGCCTTCTGATACTTCCAACTTTTTATGTGTAGGTCTGAAAATCAGATAAAGATGTTCAATTTGTGTGGAAAAGCAAAGTATGAACTCTAAGATTAGCATGGTTTTTAGAATACATATTTAAATATAGAGAGGCTATATATTTCTGGTTCTTTCTTGTGTTCAAGCCAATCATGTAGATGAAGGGTAACTATTTTGACTTGTGTATGACTGATAATAAAGTCTTCAAAATGTACTACATACGTTATTTTAACTCTTCTGTATTTTCACGTTTGGCTCCATCTAATAAAGCGTTTATTCACTTAAGATCCAGTGAGAATAAGATGGATAGCAGCAATCTTGCAGTAATATTTGCACCAAATCTTCTTCAGACAAGTGAAGGACATGAAAAGATGTCTTCTAACGCAGAAAAGAAGGTACGATTACAGGCTGCAGTAGTACAGACTCTTATCGATTATGCATCAGATATTGGTAAGATGTAGTTGCATTATTAACAGAATTTGTTTAAATGAGGAAAATCTCTGTTTCTTTCAAAGGAACTATGAAGGCAACTGTTAGAAAGTTGGTATATTACTGACCTCACCCCCACCCTACAGTACCGGCCCCTCCTGCAAAGAAAAAAAGAAAAGAAATTGGTATATTAGTATCTAAACATTTTTGGGGAAGAGTGGAGGAAGGATAATAATTGTCTTACTTGTGAACATTTTCATTTAGGGCGTGTACCAGACTTTATCCTGGAAAAGATACCAGCCATGTTGGGTATTGATGGTCTCTGTGCTACTCCATCACTGGAAGGCTTTGAAGAAGGTGAATATGAAACTCCTGGTGAATATAAGAGAAAGAGAAGACAACGTGTAGGAGGTAAGTGGTGGTCCCATTTTATGGAGGTACAGTGATTTGCTTTAATCGAAAGTACATTTCACATAAAGAAGCATGAACTGTGGTATGTGCCTTTTTGGTGCTTAAAGCACAGCTGGAAAGATAGGACGTATGCGTGTAAAAAGTTAAAGCGATAGTACAATCTAATGTTAAGTGCTACATCTTTAGCACAAACATAAAATGTGTTAAAAGGAGAAAAGCTCCCTGGATTGTAATTATCAGGGACTTGTCAAAGAGGAGCCAAACTGAACCTTCTTGAATAATGGATAGAATTTAGTGGGATTGGGTGGAGGATCAGAATACTTGTATCCTATTCTAGATGAGAAGGATGCTATGAAGAAAGGTTTGTGTAGGGAAGAAGTAACCTATGTCTAATGTAGATAGCGCAGTATGACTTGAGTGAAGTGTTCAGCATAAGGATAAAGGATGGTATTATGGTAAACTTAATGCCAGGCTAAAGAATTAGAATATTAACCTGGGTGTTGGTGAATCATTGAAGATTTATGATGTGAGGCATGATATGATTTAAAAATTTTAGAAAATTACCTGATTTGAAGAATTGAGACTTGGAAGTAGGGAGAATGGTCAGCAATGTGTGTCAGTAGTCCAGGCATGAGATTATTGTTTGAACTTGTTAGTGACATGGATTAGTTAGTTAGGAGTACGAACTAAATAATGAAGGAAATATTATCAAGGAAGAATCAGAAAGACCAAAAGACCATCATAAGATGGTAGAGTTGGTAATAAAACTTGCAATCTCCTTGATCAAGAAATCAGAGGCCATTATTCTTCCAATTACTTTAGGAAATTTATTATCTTTTGAATATCAGAACCAAATGTTACTAACTATCCCAATCCCTTTTTCATCTTTTGGTTTATTTGTTATTGCATACTTGTGTTTCTTCTTTACCTCCTTTGTAGATAGGATAATACTGATGACTTATGTATGATTTTCCTAGGGCTACTGTAGCAAAGTACTACAAACTAGGTGGCTTAAACCAACAGAAATTTGTCTCACCGTTCTGGAGGCCAGAAGTCTGAAATCAAGGTGTTGGCAGAATGCCTGAAACCTGCAGGGGAGAATCCTTTCTTGCCTCTTCCTGGCTCCTGGTAGTGGCTGTCAGTCCTTAGCATTCCTTGGCTTGCAGCCGCGTCACTCCAATCCCTGCCTATGTCATCCCATGGTGTTGCTCTGTGTCAGAACTTCCCTCTTACAGGGCACATTGGATTAGGGCCCACCCAAATGACCTCATTTTAACTCGAGTACATCTGTAAAGACACGAATTCCAAGTATGGTCACCTTCATAGGAACTGGGGGTTAGGACTTAAACATAGGTTTTTTGGAGAACACAATGCAACCCATAAAACTTCCTATCCCAAATGGAGATATTTCTCAGATGCAGATCATCTTTATTGCCCTCTTTCCCAGTCCTGTAGTTTCAGTTATCACCAGTCCTGTAGTTTCAGTTATCACATCTAAATAGATAACCACCACATCTGTACCACCGTTATCTTGAAAATGTCAGTTCCACTTTACTAATGGCTTGCTAGGGAGACCTCATCACATCTGCTTTTCATTGGTGCTTTAAGCTTAACGTTTTGAAATGACCATCTTTATCCTCTTTATCCTGGTTCTGTGTGAATTCCATTTTCTTCTAACAGCACCACTATTCCCTAGATAACTCAGGCTTTAACCATGGGTTCTACCTCTTCCTCTACCATCTATAATCAGACAGTTTTTGTGTCATATAAGATTCTATCTCCATAGTGTTTATTGCATTGTTACTGTAAGAATCTTCTTGGCCGGGTGCGATGGCTTACGCCTGTAATTCCAGCACTCTGGGAGACCAAGGTGGGCGGATCATGAGGTCAGGAGATCGAGACCATCCTGGCTAACACAGTGAAACCCCGTCTCTACTAAGAATATAAAAAATTAGCTGGGCGTGGTGGCGGGCGCCTGTAGTCCCAGCTACTTGGGAGGCTGAGGCAGGAGAATGGTGTGAACCTGGGAGGCGGAGGTTGTCGTTGGCTGAGATCGGGCCACTGCACTCCAGCCTGGGCAACATAGCGAGACTCCGTCTCAAAAATAAAAATTAAAAAAAGAATCTTCTTGGTCTTTATGCCTCCTCCTTGAATCTACCCTACATATTGCTATTAAGGCTCACTTTTTTTTTTTTTTTTTTTTTGAGACGGAGTCTGTCTTTGTCACCCAGGCTGGGGTATAGTGATGCTATCTTGGTTCACTGCAATCTCCACCTCCTGGGTTCAAGCGATTCTCTTGCCTCAGTCTCCCAAGTAGCTGGGATTACAGGTGCACGCTACCATGCCTGGCTAATTTTTGTATATGTAGTAGAAAGGGGGTTTCACTGTGTTGGCCAGGCTGGTCTCTAACTCCGGACATCAAGTAATCTGCTTGCCTTGGCCTCCCAAAATGCTAGGATTACAGGTGTGAGCCACTGCACCTGGCCAAGGCTTACATTTTAAATGTATAACTCTACTCAAGTATCTCACACACATACCCTTCAGAAATTTTAATTGGTAATAGGGATATTTATAGCTTGGCATTAAAGGTCTTTCATAGGATTGCTCTAGCAATCTGTCTACCTGTCTACTATTTCCTGTCTTTGAGCAACTTTAGTCAAACGGTGTTATTTATTTTCCAGACACTTTTATTCATTTGCTTACATTATTTATTGATATAATGTTTTTACTTCCATCTCTACTGATCTTTTAAATACTTTTATTCGTGCCTCCATTTCCATGGTTCTTGCCTCAGTTCAGACCTTCATCTTTTGCCTTAACATGTAATGATTTCTTTTTCCCTACCCTTACTGTACATTATATGTATTTGTATTACATTTCTTTCTGTATTATGTCTTTTTTATTTTAGGGATATGGAAGTATAAGTGGGGAATGGAATAAAAATATATCCTTTAGTATTTTTCCTATTTTGAAATAATTCCTCTTAAATAACTTAAAATTTATAAGCCGATGTAAAGTTACATGTTGAAAGAAGACCGCAAATATTAATATGAATTATTGGTGAAAGACAAGTAAATGTGAAGTTGTAATTGCTTATGTCTTGCATTTCAGATTTTGTTAGTGGAGCACTAAATAAATTTAAACCTAACAGAACACCTTCTATTACACCTCAACAAGAAAGAATTGGTAGGTATTTATTATATGCATTTATTTAAATTAAAATTTGTATAGTATTCTATAAAATACAATTACAATAATAATTGCCTAACTTAGTAATCAAATTTAGTTTAATCAAATCAAATATTATTTTTAATAGTCATACTGTACTATACACACTATGTTGTGACATTGCTAATTACATAGGCTATAATGAACCCAAAATTGTAGGCAAAAATTTTTTTAGTTTCCTATGTCTTTAATCTTCTTAATCATGCTTTTCTGTTTGTAATTTAGATGCTATTGAACGTGTGAAAATAGTTCAACCTCATTTTTATCTTAGGACTAGAAGTTCATTATTGTATATTTCAATTTTTTATCCTAATTTGCTTGTGGCTGAAATTATTCAGCCAGTAAGAGTCAACATGATCTTCTGTTTTCTAGAGTGAAGAAATGAACTGGTTAATACTCACTTATGATGAAAAGCAAAAATAATATTTAGATTAGTTTTTGTTTCAACTCCTTGATTGTAATTTCTTCCTTACATTAATATTCTTTAATGTATATCATATGCATCTTTTAGTCTGTTAGATTTAAGTAACTGCTGTCTCTTAAGAGTCTTGCCTCTGCGACTTCCTTATTTTCATTTAAGTAATTGCAGAGTGTTTTAGTTAAACAACATCTACTTAACTGATGATGTAAATATATTCTCATTTTTTGTTTAGCTCTAAGTAATAGCTTTATAAGAAGAAATTATGTAAAGCTTTTATATGTTGTCAACTCTGCAGTAGAAGCAAGAAGTTGGTTTTGTTTTGATATTTTTTCAGCCCAGCTATCTGAATCACCAGTGATTCTTACACCAAATGCTAAGTGTAAATTGCCATGCCAGTAGATTCTTCTCATGGTTTCTCAAGTAAGAAAAGGAAGTCCATCAAGCACAATTTTAACTTTGAGCTGTTGCCAAGTAATCTCTTCAATAGCAGTTCTATACCAGTATCAGGTAGCAAATAGAATTTATATAAATGGATTGTAAAGATTAAAATGAGTGCCTATTCTGGGCACAGTGCAATTTCATATTAATAATACCACCCTTAGGAACTAGAACTTTATTCTGTTTTATCCAACCTATGAATTTTTATAAAACCCCCTGCCTTTTAAAATAGACAGTGTTTCAATATAGAGTGTGTGTGTGTGTGTGTGTGTGTGTGTGTGTGTGTGTTATGACAACATCTATTGAAAGTTGTGATAACCCAGAGTAGTAGTTTGGGCTTCTGGTGATAGCATTGATGCTTAGGTTTTATGTGATTAGACATCCTGAATCCTGCTATAGTTACATCTGGGTCTATAGCTGTGGCTTTATTGCTGTCATTTGTTGAATTGAGGTTGCCAGATGTTTGATCATGTCTGATTCCCAAGTGGGAGCGTTACTATTGCAGGTTATGGTTTGAAAATGAGGGTATTTTTAAAGTTTTAGACTCAAGTACCTTTTGTAAAAGCTTTAGAACTTTGTTGACGCTGTTCCTTGTGCCATGGCTTCCAGATCCCTTACCAGCCCAGCCATTTTCTTCCATATTAACTACAAGTTCTAATGTGGCCAACCAGAGCCTTCAGAGAGTAATAGAGTATGATCATGCTAATCCGGAGATTAGTCTGGGTCTTAGATTCAATTGGCTCTTTTAGCATATACAGAATTCAAGTTGGCTCATATTAACCTTACGATCAACCAAAAATGAAATGAAACTCTAAGCCCAGGGTCCTCCATCTCATTTATCTTACATTTAGTCAAAATGTGAGTGATCTCTGATTATTTTAGATTTTTATTTTGTTGGTTTCAGACAATGTTAAGTTTCATTTTTGATTCATTATCTGAGTTATATGAGTTCCTTCCCAAAGCCTGTCTCTTTTTTCTGTTGTCCAAAAGGGTTCTTATTTGTTTTATTGAGAAGTTGAACAGAATAGCAACTTGAGGTTTTCCAGAAAAAACACTTCCTCACAGGTTCTCTAGGGCTCATTGAAATGTGATGATAGTAACTCTGAAGCTTATGTCTGTAGCTTTTGCAGTGTTCACAGGTTGGAGACTTAAACTTTTTTAAGTAACATAGTTCAGTTTTTTTTTTTTTGAATATTTAAAAGCCTTTGCAGTTTGGAGGACTTTTTCCAAATGGCAAATGGGAGTTGTAGTTCTACCTGCCTTTGCTTATTAGCATTACATTTTCCCCAAGGAATGAACATACTGATTCCTTCTTCTCCTCCTCCAAGCTCCCAAAACAGAGGTTAAACAGTCTTGTTCTATTTTTAGTTTGAGCTTGCCTAATCAATGAATTTTTTAATAAAAAAATTTAAAAGTTCAACAATAATAATCGTATTATTTTTACACCACTTTTCTTTGACCCTACTTTCTCAGCCACAATTCAACAAATTCCATTTGCAAAATTGAAAATAGATTGATTTCTAAGTTTAGATTATAAAAAATATGATGCTTTTAAAAATATATAAAGACAACATTAGTCTGTAGTCCATAGAGTATCTATTCATAATTGTCTCTTTTTTTTTTTTTTGAGACAGAGTTTTGCTCTTGTTGCCCAGGCTAGAGTGCAATGGCACAATCTCGGCTCACTGCAGCCACCACCTCTCAGGTTCAAGCGATTTTCCTGCCTCAGCCTCCCAGGTAGCTGGGATTATAGGTGGCCACCACCACACCTGGCTAATTTTCTTTTGCATTTTTAGTAGAGACGGGGTTTCACCACGTTGGCCAGGCTGGTCTTGAACTCCTGACATCAGCTGATCAACCTGCCTTGGTCTTCCAAAGTGCTGGGATTACAGGTATGAGCCACCATGCCTGGCCATAATTTTCTTACAGATGTGATAAATTTGCATTGTTCCATATATTCTGACTGTGCCTTCTGCGACCATTGACGCATTTTTTTATTTTTATTTTTTGAGACGGAGTCTCGCTCTGTCTCCCAGGCTGGAGTACAGTGGCATGATCTTGGCTCACTACAACATCCACCTCCGATGTTCAAGTGATTCTTGTGCCTCAGCCTCCTGAGTAGTTGGGATTACAGGCATGCACCACCACACCCAGCTAATTTTTGTATTTTTAGTAGAGATGGGATTTCACCATGTTGGCCAGGCTCGTTTGAACTCCTGGCCTCAAGCAATCTGCCCTCCTCAGCCTCCCAAAATACTGGGATTACAGACGTGAGCCACGGTGCCTGGCTGGACACATTTTTAAAGTGACTAGACTGCAGCCCTAGAATAAAGCTACTTATGACACTTTAGATGTATAATATTGGCTTCCAAAATTTTCTTTAGCTAAATGCACCCAAAAGTTTCTAAGGTGGTTGTATTTTTTTCCGTTTTCATAATTGAAAAAATGTGAATGTCTCTGGGAAACTTTGTGAATTCTTTATTAATAACTCAGATGAATTGAGAGGGTTCATGTTTGTTGAATGTGTCCTGGGTGTGATTCAAACATAAATGTATATGGAGCCTTTGTTCATAACTATTTTACTTCTTTTGTAATTGTTTACTATAGTTGATTTCATAATATAAATGGTGTTAAATAATTGAGCTTCTGTTGTACCAGTAATTATTTGCATGGAACACAGCAGCAGCCAAGGGATTAGGAATGTGTTATAGAATAATTAGTTTTTGTTTACTTGCCAAAAATATTGAACAAATTACATTCAGGAGTCAGGTGGGTAGCAGTTGGCCAGCAGGTATATCTCAAATACTCAGATTCCAACTTGTTTGCCAATAGCTTATTTTTTATAATACCATTAATTAGTATTATGTACTAGATACTGACTAAATATTTTATATAGATAACAGTAATATTCATCATAGAAGTCCGTTTTCAGAGCCTAAAGCCATTTAGTAAGTGATGGAGCAAACTCAAGCCTGTCTCCAAATCTTGTTCTTTTTCCAGTCTGCAATGGTGCCTATCCCTGCCTTGTATTATTAAAAGAGTTTAAAGAAAAGCTCTAATATAAAAGTAATGCTTAAGCTGACCTTTAATTGGCAAGTCAAAAGTAAGAAATGAATGCTTTTTCTTAGCTGAGTTGGGTTATTTGACACTTGAAGTTTCTAACCAGAAATTAAGTGATTTCGGTTGTTGCTTGGGATAGAAATTAAGGCTTTGAATCTAATTGCTGCTATTGGAGGGCAGTAGAATGTGGTAGTTGGAGTTGCATGATACTTGATTCATATGTCTGTGTAATGATGGTGTGCAGTACCCTGATTGCTCCTTTTACATTCTTTCTGTAAAAGGAAAAATAAAACATGAGAATAGTGCTGTTAACTAAACTATCAAATTTATTTGAATTTTACCAGTTGCCTCTAATATTCTTTTTGTTTTCTTCCAGGATGCCACATTACAGTTTGTTGTTATGCCCCCTTAGTCTCATATAATCTGTCCTAGTCTTTCATGGTTTTGTCAGAATTTCTCAGACTTTTCTTGCCTTTCATGACCTTGACAGTTTTCTTTTTTTTTTTTTTTTTGAGATGAAGTCTCACTCTGTCACCCAGGTTGGAATGTAGTGGTGTGATCTCAGCTCACTGCAACCTCTGCCGACCGGGTTCAAGCTATTCTCCTGCCTCAGCCTCCTGAGTAGCTAGGATTACAGGGGCCTGCCACTGCGCCTGGCTAAGTTTTGTAGTTTTAGTAGAGACGGGATTTTATCATGTTGGCCAGGCTGGTCTTGAACTCCTGACCTCATGATCCGCCTGCCTAGGCCTGCCAAAGTGCTGGGCGTACAGGCGTGAGCCACGGCACCTGGCCTTTGTATGTTTTTGTAATACATGTTATAAAACGTATGACTCAAGTCCTTGACACTTTGAAGAGTAACTGGTTGGGTGTTTTGAAGAATGTCCCTTAATTTAGGTTTGTCTAAGGGTTTCTCATGATTAGAATGAGATTATGAATTTGGATTATGAGATTAGAATGGGAATATGCATTTTAGTAAGAATACTGCAGTAAATACAGTAATGCTGGTTACTTAATTAGTAAAGGTTTTAAGAAATATTACATATAGAAGTTTTGCAGAAGTTAGGTATAGAAATGATGGTTGAATTTTTAATTAAAAGTCTCAAGATGCAGTATCTGGCTGTCCGAAGCTCATGGATCCAACTACATGGTTTCTTCACATTTCTCAAATTGTGCACTTTCCAATTCATGCTATTATGGCTTCCTTGAATGGAGTCTTCTCTGATATAACCATAAAGTTCCAGCCATCCTTCAAGACCTCAACCCACCTTATACCTCTTCTGTAAACCCAGTGCCAACTATATCAAGTAAAGTGCTTGCTGTATTCTCTAAACTACTATTTACAAAAAAAAAAAATTCTTTCTGTCCAGGGTTTTGTCTGTAGTTATGTCCTGCCTCTTTTGAATTGTGAAATATTTTGTTGTTTATCAAATGTTTGTCTCATCTTCCCAACCAGAATGTCAGCTCTCTGAAAATAGGATTGTGTCTTTTATATTTTTGTATCCCCCTTAGCACTTGGCATAGAGCCTTACCTTGGCACGGTACCCAATAGATATTTGTTGAATGACTGAATTTCTAATTAGAGGTAAATTATCTAAAGAGTAAGCCAAGATAGGGGTGAATTTTTTCTTTGAAGCTTTATTTTATTACAGATATCAATTGAAATGATTTTTTAAAATAAATTATCTATATTTGTATGTTTTAATCTGAAAAGGCATCGTTCTTATTGTTTTTGGTAACAAATTTTACACATTCTTTTTTTGTCCTCATTGATTTATTATCTGATATAAGGGACATATAAGGAGACATATCAATCTCAAAAATTGTCTCAAAAGGTTTTATTTTTTTTAACCACAGATAATGAAACAACCACCATCGGTTAAATTTGATCCAAAAATATTGCATCTACCAGCATTTTCAGGTAGGATCATAAAGGACTTATCGAACATGTAGACTGTCTGTATACAGATACGAATATGAAATTTATTCACAAATGGAATATTTGTATGTGAATAACTAAATTTATTTTGTCTTGACAATTGGTTATATTCTTGGGTCAGTGTTATGTGAATTGTAAGTAATCTGTAATTCATTTGTGCCAGCTGTTGACATGAGTCTGGGCTGCCCTGTCCTCTTGTGTGTGGGGAGGTTCCTGTAGATCTGGGCAAGTTTTCCTGTAGAGTGGGTGGGGGGCCTCCTCCCTTCCGTTCATAGAGCTGGTTGAATTTCCACCATTTATGGCAGGTGTAGGTGCACAGGGTTGGGGACAACAAGGAAGGATTGGGATTCTATTGGCGGGACCAGGACATTTGAGAACGGGACTAGGTGGTTCATGACTGTGGAGATGGTGTGGGAGTGGAGATACTTAAGGGATAATTATTACATTTCTGTTGAGCTAATGAAAATCTTATTTAGGGTGAAAGTCAGAAATTTTTACATACCTTAAACTTTTTTTTTTAACAAATTATATTTTAAGCTGTTAAACTCAATTTGGGGAAAATTATTCATTGTGGCTAGATTAGAATCTATGATTTGAAATAAATTTAAAATATATTTAGGTTTAAATAAACTAGCTAAGGGTTTGTATCAGTCAACCTAATTACCGATAAAAACAACCAAAAAAACCTGTGAAGGATGTTTTTGAAAGACCAAAGTGAAGCAAAATATTAATAGTGCTTTCAGTGCCAAGTAGGTCTATTTATGCAAACCTAGAGAATTATTACCTGGAAATACTATTTATTTTTTCTTCTTTGGTTTATTTAGGAAATTATATTTACAATTTCTTTTGTCTAAAGATTGAGATCAGCCAAAAATATGTTAATTTTAGGGGGTATCACATTTCCTAGATTTTGCCCTTTTTTTGTATAGGGATTTGGAGCTAAAATTTCAGGTGATTTTAGCTATCATGTTATCCTCGTTATTTTTTTACAGTGATTTTATTGGAACTTTTTAATAACTGGGATTTGTGCTTTTCTCAATATTTGAGAGTTGATTTATTTATACAAAGGCTCTTTTGTCTTTTACTTCAGTCGTATTCAACTTTACATTTTGTTATAGTCTAGGTTGTGGGACAATTCTGCTTTAGACATCTGCTTTATTTGAAAGCATAGTTTTCCATTGAAGTGGTTAAAAAGTTTCCATGTGTAGATAAAGAGATGGGAAATATAGAAGGACAAATAGAAGTAGTGTCATCTTTGGAGTATTTTTGATTTTGACAGTGTAATGTTTTCTTTATCCTCATCTTAGTTGTCGTAATTCTGTGTTTCTCATGTAATGTTTCCAGCAGTTGTTTTTCTCATCATCATACTTCTGTTATTTTCTTTCCTTGGCAGTGGATAAGTTATAATTTCTGAAAGACCAAGATTGGAATGACTTTTTGTAACAAGTGTGCTCGCAGATCGACTCCAGTGAGAAGAGCTCGGGGACCTCCTGAGCCAAGTTTAATCTCCTTTGCTATTTGTGCATGGTGGCTGGTCACCAGGAGGTGGCCACCAGGCTTCTCCTTTCCCCGCTGGTAGGCCTCTGTGACATGACTTATGCATTTAAATGTATGTTTTTATAGAGGCTCAAACAAGTGCTAAAATAGCAATTTGATTTAACTACCATGAAAAAACTGATTTATCATGATTTTAGGTTTATGCAAATTATCGTCTGCTTAATCCTTAGGTCTTAAAGTAGATGAGAGTAGATGGTGATTTTGAACTTTCTGTTGTTGTTGTTTGTAATACTTAGATTTCCATTTTATGTTAACTTGTAAGATTTTAAAAAAATATATAGGCTGAGGCAGGAAAATGGCGTGAACCCCAGGGGCGCGGAGCCTGCAGTGAGCTGAGATTGTGCCACTGCACTCCAGCCTGGGCGACAGCGAGACTCCGTCTCAAAAAAAAAAAAAAATATGTGAAATTAGCCCAGGCGCAGTGGCTCATGCCTGTAATCCCAGCACTTTGGGAGGCTGAGGCGGGTGGATCACCTGAGGTCAGCAGTTTGAAACCAGCCTGGCCAACGTGGTGAAACCCCATCTCTACTAAAAATACAAAATTAGCCGGGCGTGGTGGTGCACTCGTGTAATCCTAGCTACTGGCGAGGCTGAGGCAGGAGAATCACTTGAACCTGGGAGCCAGAGGTTGCAGTGAGCCGAGATTGCGGCATTGCACTCCAGCCTGGGCAAAAAGAGCGAAACTCCATCTCAAAACAAAACAAAACAAAACGTGATATCATAAGACCTTTTCCCTTCTCATCAGTGACTGGAATGAACTGCCCATGTGGAATGGGTTGTGGGTGTTGGTTCCTTTACTGGGTCATCTGGTAAACTGCAAGGTTTCTGCTGTGACATTGAAGGCAGACATCAACCCCCTAAGACATTTTTTTCCTATCCTCTGGGAATATTACGTTTTGGACAATCTTGGTCCATTGGTAAGCTTATGGGAATTTGTCAGCGTTTTTTTGTTTTTTGTTTCTTTGGGCTCATGTTTAGCATCGATTGGCAGAGTTTTTGGAGTCATCCTCAGAAAGGAATTACGGTGGTTCAGAGGTGTTTTCTGTAGTGGGCCCTCATTTGGGAATTGGCTTGAAAAAATTTAAGTTCATTTGCTCCCAGGATAGTATTAAGGTTACTTTTTTCGATAGTTGGTGTGTGTCTATCAGGTAAGGGCAGTCATTTAGAGAATATAAAGTGGTAGGAGAAACTAAAAGTACTGTTCTTAGTTTCTATTTTAATCTTATTCATATACAAGTGCCTTTGTAATTTAGTAAATATCATTTTTGGTATACAGCATAAATTTCCTTTTTATAAAGATCTGAGTTTTTAACTTTGCTGTCACTTTCTGTGTTGTGTGAGTTAAATATTTTAATTTTTTCTTTTTTTATATTTAAATTTTTTATTCTAGTTCTAATTGCTAATCCAGTATTTGCGGATAGCTCCAAACTGGGATATGTAAGTAACATTTATATTTTAAAAATTATTTTTCATGACTTTATTAAGTAGTTATAGCATACATACTTATCAAAAGCACAGTCCTAAATAATTATCATAAATTTTTCTGACATAATGATGACTCTACTCATAGGCAATTTTTATGGGCATTCCAATTATAAATTTTAGAATATTTAAAAATAACCCTTCTCCTAATATACAATTCTGGGATTATCTAAGCTACTCCTGGAAACTTTATTAACTGTTCTTGTTTTTTTATTTTCATAGAGACAAGGTCTCTCTCTATGTTGCCCAGGCTGGTTTCCAACTCCTGGGCTCAAGTGATTCTCCCATCTCTGACTCCCAAAGTGTTAGGATTACAGGAGTGAGCCACTGCGCCAGGCTAACTGTTACTGTTTTGAGTATTGGTTATAAAATACTTCAACCCTGATCCCTGTGTATTAATTTAGTTATACTTCCTCAAAGTTTCCCTTGGCCACCCTTATCTGTCCCTCATGTAGCACGTAGCTTCCCTATGATTTTATTTATAAGCTAATGAGATTATGATTTATAAACTCCCAATGGAAGGAAGTGTCCTTACTTTTTATAGGAGCAGCATACCAGGTGGAAAGCACCGTAGATCAAGTGTTAGAAGGCTCTGGGTTCCTGTTGCCTGTAAGACTTGGCCAAATGATTATCTTTTTCTCATTCTCTGTTTCCTGGGGAGGGTGAGTGGAACAAGGAAATGACATAGGTTTAGGATTCAGACAGACCTGGGTGTGGATCAAAGATCTGTGTTCTGGGCCAATTACTTTAATTGCTGAGTCGAAGTTTCCTCATCTGTAAAATTTCGATGGAGATGAGATAACTACTTCATAGATTTTTGTAATTATTCCACTGTGAATGAGGTAAATATGTGATACCTTGTATAGTGCCTGATTCTTAGTGGGTATTTCACTTACAATGGGGTTGGGGTTGTAGAAGTTGCAGTTATTATCATGAAGCTTGCTTATCTCATGACTGTTAGGAAAAGCACATGAAAAAACGGAGGTGAAAGGATTTTGTGAATTGTGGCAGTGGTATAATAATTATTCTTCGATGCTGGTAAAATATGGGTGAAACAATAGGAGTTTAGAAAATGCTTAATAATAAGGGTAATTCTTATTATACATCTTGTAATGTTACTCTCCCAAAGTAAAATCTGGTAATAGAAAGTAGGATTTAATACTTTGAGCATTTAATACTTTGAGAAGGCTTATGGTATGCTCATTAAAAATGAATCAATGAAATATTTATTTAAACACTTTTATTTAAAACATGTTATACCCTTGAATGGCGTGCCCCCTGTTGACATTTTCAAACAGACATTCCAAATCATTTCCAAGTACAGTCATCCCTCTGTATCAGCCCGGAGATTGGTTCTAGTATCCCCTTGGATACCAAAATTCACACATACTATTTTTCCTCTGCTTTTAAGAATTGAAGTTTGATTGTAAAACTGTTTTAATTTGAATAAAATGATACTGAGGTAGACAAGTTCTCTGGTAGGAATCTTCTTTTATTCTCTTTCTCCATTCAAAGCCACTTCTAGTGAGGTTTTCTCTGATCTCAGGTTATATTACCTTGATAGCATATGATAAAGGGTCCTTAACGTAGTCTGTGAGATAACTATTTTTGAAGTAGGCATATTTATTCCTTAGTTTTGTTTTGCATATAAAAAAATTAGAATCACGTGATATAATTTTATAAGTTTGTTTTCCCCTGTAACATATATATTATGTATTTTAAATGTTATTAACATTTTAAAATAAAATACATAATAAGGTAAACTTTTTATATGTTGTGAATATCTGATCATTTTGTTTACTAATTTTGGATAGTATTATAATGTTGGAAACAACATTTTGATGAACATATTTGAGATTAAATCTTTGTGCCCACATTTTCTTTTTCTCTTTAGGGAAGATTCATAGAATTAGAACAAATTAGAACAAATGGGTAGAAGGCAGTAAATATCTTTGTGACTTCTAAAAAATTGCTGAAATACTCTTAAATAAATTGTATCAATATATAATCCCAATGTGTTTAAAATGCCTTTTGTTAGAACTTCCAACATTGAGTATTTATCAAATTGTGTATCCTTCTATCCTTGCCAATCAACTTTATGAGGTATAATTCATATATAGTAATATTGTAATAGTGTAATTTTAAAAATGTGTTAATTGTATATTATGCATAATTTAAAATGTTCCATTTCAGCCATTTTTATGTGTACAGTGGCATTTAGTTCATTCCCATTGTTGTATAACCATCACCACTATTCATTTCCAGAACTTTTTCGTCATCTTAAACAGAAGCTCTTTACCCATTAAACGGTAACTTCCCCTTTCCCTTCCCCAGTCCTGGTGAGCTATACTCTACTTATTCTATCCTGGTGAATTTGCTTATGGTGAGCACCTCATATTGCTACCGAAACATCAAGGGGTTTGGTCTAGGTCCTGTTGCTCACAGCTCAGAAAGCCAATCACAGAGACGATGAGTGTTGCTAGGGAAGAAGGCTTCAACTGGGTACTGCAGCTAAGGAGATGGGAGATCAATCTCAAATTTGTCACCTCCACTGACTAAAACCAGGGGTTTATTTAGCAGGGAAGAAATGTAACCATGTATGGGAAAACAGGAGTTAGGGAAGGGTGAGGAAGAGGAGTTGGTCAACAGGAAGCAGGTAGTTGGTTAGGCAATTGTGATGGGTGAGGTGGTCTGGTGTCTTATGGTTCAGATGTGGTGATGTGGTAAGTTTCAGTTCCTTGATAACTATCTGGGAGGCCTTATGGTTTGTTTCCCAAAAAAGGAATTCAGATAAGACAAATGTAACTTTCTCAAGTTTTAAGACTGGGAGGGTCAATTTCTATCTTTATTTTAAAAGACTGTAAGCATCAGTTCTATAGGACAATTGGGCTGGTTTCATTTGCAAGGTTCATCCATGTTGTAACTAACCATGTGTCAGCATTTCATTCCTTTTTAAGGCTGAATCATATCCCTTTGTATGTATATACCACAGTTTGTTTATTTTTTCATCTGTTGTTGGGCACTGGCTTGTTTATATCTCTTGGCTATTGTGAACAATGCTGCTACGAACATTAGTGTTTTCTGTTTTTGTTTTTTGCTAACAGCTATCCTGATGGGTGTGAAGTAGTATCTCATGGTTTTGATTTGTATTTTGTGACTACTGATGTTGAACATCTTTTTGTTTGATTGTTGGCTATTTGGAGAAAGGTCTAATCAAGTCATTTGCCAATTTTTGTATTGAGTTTTATGTTGTTTAGAGTTGTAGGTATTTTTTATATATTCTAGATATTAACCCCGTGTCAGATAAATGATTGTAAATATCTTCTCTCATTACACTGGTCGCTTTTTACTGTGGCAAGTGCCTTTTTGAGATATGAATTTAGGAAGAATTTTTCTATTTTTTAAATAAGAGTTTTATA
Organism: Homo sapiens; assembly: GCF_000001405.40. Lineage (NCBI taxonomy): Eukaryota > Metazoa > Chordata > Mammalia > Primates > Hominidae > Homo > Homo sapiens. The sequence goes on along the minus strand of NW_012132920.1, from coordinate 1,876,793 downwards.
CTTGAATAAGGTAAATGCTCATCCATCATTAATTTTTTAATTAAAAACACAGTTTTCCTGTTTCTTTGGTGTAGTTCTCCTCTTGGTTGATTATATTTTATCATTGGATAGGTTTTTTTTGTTGTTTGAGACGGAGTCTCGCTCTGTCGCCCAGGCTGGAGTGCAGTGGCGCGATCTCAGCTCACTGCAACCTCTGCTTCCTGGGTTCAAGCGATTGTTCTGTGTCAGCCTCCCGTGTAGCTGGGATTACAGGCACCTGCCATCATGCTTGGCAATTTTTGTATTTTTGTAGAGACAGGGTTTCACCATGTTGGCCAGATGGTCTTCAACTCCTGACCTCAGGTGATCCACCTGCTTTGGCCTCCCAAAGTGCTGGGATTATAGGCATGAGCCACCATGCCTGGCTGATAGATTTTTTGTTTTGCTTTCTTTTGAACAAGGCCTCTCAGTGGCTTACCTCTGTGCCATGCTTTGGTGTTTGAGCTCTCTTCCCTGTACTAACTGTAGCTCTGTAGGACTTGGGGGTCAACCTTACCTTTTATTTTTACCCCGTCTTTTGTGTGTCTTATTTGAGTTAGCATTTCTTTTTATTCCAGGCCTGTAAATTTTACTAGATTGTCTCTAGGAATCTCTTTTACTAATTTGCTTCAGCCTGCCTTCCTGCCATCTCTTTTTACTAATTTGCTTCTGCCTGCCTGCCTTCCTGCCTTCCTCCCTCCCTCCCTCCCTCCCTCTCTCCCTTCCTCCCTCCCCTTCTTCCCCTTCCTTCCCCTCTCCCATGCCTTCCTTCCCCTCTCCCATCCCTTCCTTCCCTTCTTTTCTTTCCATTTATTTTGAGATAGAGTATTGCTCTGTCACCCAGGCTGGAGTGCAGTGGGGTAATCTTGGCTCACTGCAACCTCTACCTCCCAGGTTCAAGTGAGTCTCCTGCCTCAGCCTCCTGAGTAGCTGGGATTACAGGTGTGTGCCACCATGCCCAGTTAATTTTTGTGTTTTCAGTAGAGATTGGTTTTCACCATGTTGGCCAGGCTGGTCTCGAACCCCTGACCTCAAGTGATCCACTTGCATTGGCCTCCCAAAGTGCTGAGATTATAGGTGTAAGCCACAATGCCTATCCTCTTCACCCCTCCTTTAGCTTTCATATTACTTCTTAGATTTCTTCCTCTCTATTTCATCCTTTTTCTGTTCCTGAAACCCCTACAGGATGGGTGTGGGAGTTTGTGTCTCTTGACTCTTCTTTCAAATTTTCTTTTGCTTTCTCACTTTCTCTTGTTTATTGAGATATAATTCACATACCATAAAATTCACCATTTTAATGTGTACAGTTCAGTAGGTGTCAGTATATTGAAAACTGTTCAACCATCGCCACTATCTAATTTCAGAACAGTTTTCTCACCCAGTGAAACCCAGTACCCATTCTTCTCCAACCCCTGGCAACAACTAATCTACTTCTTGTCAGCTGATTTGCTATTCTTGATATTTCATATAAATGGAATCATACAGTGTGTGGCCTTTTGTGTCTAGCTTCTGTCATTTAGCATAATGTTTTCAAGGTTCCTCCATATGGTGGAATGTGTGAGTACTTCATTCTTTTTCTAGCTGAATAATCTTTGTATGGCTATTCCACATTTTGCTTATGTGGTCTTGATGGACATTTGGGGTTGTTTCCACATTTGGCTATTATGAATAATGGTGCTCTGAACATTTGTCCACAGGGTTTTGTGTGAACATATACGTTTTTATTTCTCCTACAGTGGTGAGATTGCTGGATAAAATGGTAACTCTGTGTTGAACCTTTTGAAGAACTGCCAAAGTCTCTTTGTTAAACTTTTATTTTAGGTTCAGGGGTACACATGCAGGTTTGTTATATAGGTGAACTCATGTTATGGGGGTTTGTTGTATGAATTATTTGGTCACCCAGGCACTAAGCTTGGTAAGGACCAATTGTTATTTTTTCTGATCCTCTCCCTCCTCCCACCCTCCACCCTAAATAGGCCCCCGTGTCGATTGTTCCCTCTTTGTGTCCATGCAAACTTTCTTCTTTTATTGCTCTTCCTTGACTTTATCTTTGAGCTCTCAAACTTGATATTTATCCCCACTCATTTTATTATTTAGGATTTCCAGTTAATTTTTTAATTTCAACAATCATATTTGAAAGTTTTTGTTCATTTTCTTTTTCTCTGATTGGTCCTTTTTCCTAGCTGCCTATATTAGGTGTGTACTTTTGAATTTGAGGATAAATATTAGGATTATAAAAATCCTCGTCTTGGAGCAGAATTTAGAATTAAATGTTGTTATTAATATTTAAGGCTAAACATTAGGATTATATAATATAAGCCTGGAACCTGGACTTTGAAAAAAAGGGAACAAAATTCAGATTATAAACATTGTATTCTTATGTCTTGAACTTGTAGGTCACTTGTTTTTCATCATGGTCCTGCTTTTTAATGCTGTTTATTTCTCAAATGCCTGGTGATCTCTGTTTCTTCGTTTATATTATGAATAAATGATTAAATTGATTGGTATAGAAGTTGGCAATACGAGTTTCCTTTATTCGTGCCTAAGTCTCTTTCTCCAATAGCCTTTCCTTTAAAGAAAGGGCTGATATGTGGTATGTGAGGCCTGTTGACTGGTTGAGTTTAATTTGGGATTCCAGCTGGCTGAAGATCAGTAGGCAGGCTGGAGGCCTCTGCAATTGCCAGGGTGGGTTTTTCTTTGCAGTGGAGCTGGCTTTCCTCATTTAACCCCTTTCCCGCTTCAGTATCTGTAGGACCACAGTCGCTGCTTCCCACATCCATCCATCCAGTGAGCAAGGTGGATTGCTCACTGTAGGAACGATTTTCCACGTTTACCCAGGAGGCCAGGGCTGCAGGGTTTATTCTGTGTACCAGGGGAAGGAGACGGAAAGGAGACAGGATCTGATTGGCTCAACTGTTCCTTGTACAAGGACACAATTTTTCTTTGTGCAGTTGTTTAATCTGATGATTGTCTTGTGGCTCATTCTTTGTTTTTGTCTTAGTTTATTCCAAGTCCCTGAGGCTTCCTTGGGAACGTCTGTCTACCTGTGGTTCTTAGACAGGGGATTCCTTTGTTGATTCTCTGTCAGTCTTAATTCTATTTGTGCATGTCATCTGAGATTTTCTCAAACTTTCTAGTCCACTTTTAGCCCTCCTTTTTGTTTCCAATTATCATTTAATAAAAAGAGCTTGTATTTTAGAGACTCTAGAGGGTTCAGAAAAGTGAGTGTCGAGTGTTTAGTCTGCAACCGTTAAAGACAGAGAATGTCTCATAAGTTTGGATCTGTGTTACTTACATGATTTTGATTTACAGATGCTTTCTTTCTTTCCCTTTCCCTTTTATTTTTTCTTTTCATTTACTTATTTTATTATTATTATTATTAGTATTATTTTTAGAGACTTACTCTAAAAAAATAGGGTCTCACTTTGTGCCCCAGGCTGCAATGGGACTACAGGTACATGCCACCATGCCTGGCTAAATTACAATTTTTTTTTTTTTTTTTGAAGAGACAGAGTGTCACTTTGTTGGCCAGGCTGGTCTTGAACTCCTGGCCTTAGTGATCATTCCATCTTGTCCTCCTAAAGTGCTAGGGATTACAGGTGTGAGCCACTGTACCTGGCCAAAGTTTTCACTTTTTAATATGGTGTATAAGGTATATAGAAGTGCTTTATTTATTTATTTATTTATGAGAGGGAGTCTTGCTCTGTTACCCAGGCTGGAGTGCAGTGGCATGATCTCGGCTCAGTGCAACCTCTGCCTCCTGGGTTCAACAATTCTCCTGCCTCTGCCTCTCGAGTAGGTGGGATTACAGGCGCCCACCACCATACCCGGCTAATGTTTGTATTTTTTAGTAGAGATGGCATTTCACCATGTTGGCCAGGCTGGTTTTGAACTTCTGACCTCAAGTGATCCACCCGCCTCAGTCTCCCAAAGTGCTGGGATTACAGGCATGAGCCACCATGCCCAGGAGAAGTGCTTTTAACTCCACAAGTGTTTAGGCTTTTTGGGTTATATTTGCTATTTTTACTTTTCTCCTTTTACTATATCAAAATGAGTCCTTTATGATTTCTGCCCTAGGGAATTCTAAAGATTTATCTTTGTGGTCTAATATAAAATCATTTTAAATGTATGCCATGAATGTAGTCAAGTATTGATAATAATGTAGTAATAGTAGCTTGCTCAGTCAGCACAAATTGTCAGGACACAGTGGTAATTTCTGCATGTGGATTATCTCCTGATTCTTAGAACAACATGAAACCAGGCTCATGAAAGATGAGTAATTATCCCAGGGTACTGTCTCCCTCACCTCCAATGTTGGGCCAGAGCTAGGTCCAAGACTTTGAATTCTAGAGTGTTAGACACCATCCTATGCAGCCTCCCACTGAGTAAGGGTGGTCACTGTTTGTAGGGTGTAGAGTTTGATAGATACGTCTGTTACTTTGACTTCATTAGTTTTATTTAGGATGCTTGAATGTATGAATGTATTGATTAATATATTCATTATTGCCTTCTCTCTGTGCTTGGAAGAGAAGAAAATTGAAGTTTACCACTACCATGGGTTTACTTTGCGTGCTTTGTTATTTGGTGTATAAAGATTCACACCTTAGATCTTTTGTAGGTCATATGGTGTTTAGTTTAAAGGGAATCTTTTTCTGAAGAGTTTAGCCTTGAATTCTGCTGAGATTTACATTGGCAATCCTGTTTGCATTTTGTTTGCCTTGTACAGCCATACTTTTATGCACTCCTTTCCTACTAATGTGTTTATTTTGCTTTTGATGTTGATATATTTGTTCAACCAACATTTTTAGATGCCCGAGTGCGCTCCAAGCACTGTCTAGGTGTCACAGTGGCGATCGGGATACAGCCCTGCCTTCATGGATCTTCTGGGCTGGTCGGGGAGACAGACAATAAACCAGTCAACGAATGAATAAGTAACTGCAAAATTTTAGTTCTGCTCTAATGTGGTAGCCATTCACTTCATGGGGGTCATTTAAATTAATTAAATTAATAGTAGCTTACTCATTCAGCATGTATTGTCAGACACAATGGTACTTTCTGCACATGGATTATCTCCTTTGATTCTTTTAACAACATGCGGTATGTATTGTTATCGGTCCTACTTATGAGGTAACCAGGACTAGGCACATGAAAGATGAGTAATTACCCCAGGGCACTGTCTCCCTCACCCTCAACTGTGGGAGTAATTTTTAAAAGAAAAGTTAAGGCGAGATGCAGTAGCTAACGCCTGTAATCCCAGCACTTTGGGAGGCTGAGGTGGGCAGATCAGTTGAGCTCAGGAGCTCAAGACCAGCCTGGACAACATGACGAAACCCCGTTTTTACTAAAAATACAAAAATTAGCCAGGTGTGGTGACACACACCTATAGTCCCGGCTATTTGGGAGGCTGAGTTGGGAGGATTACTTGAGCCCGGGAGGCATTGCAGTGAGCGGAGACTGCGCCACTGCTCTCTAGCTTGGATGACCCTGTCTCCCAAAAAAAAAAAAAAAATTAATTTGAATAAAATTTGTTGTTCCTCACTTGCATGTGTCATATATTATGTGCTTGATAGTCATGTGTCTAGTGGATACTGGATTGAACAGTGCAGATGTGGGACATTTGTCAGTGCACGAAGGTTTGGTAGACAGTGGTGCCTTAGATGCCGTCATGGAGATGGGTTGGTTCTGAGGTACAGTGTCAAGTCACTGGGGGCACCTGGAGTGGTGACCTGAGAAAACCTGAATTTTGAGAAGGAACCTGTACTGTGAGGGTGTTGTCTATGGGGCATGTGGTACTTGTATTTAGGATTTTGGTAAAAAGTGACTATTCATAAGCTATTTAAAGTTTCTATTTTAAAAGTATAGGGTTTTTAGGTAGTGTGTTTTCTCTTATTCTAATAATAATTGTTTTGGTCATATTAGGGAAAATAACTGACATGTTGTTAGATTTTTATTTTAGTTGATTAAATCTGGTAGCCATTATTTACTTTTATAGATTGAAAAATGGTTCAGTGTTTCAAAAGTATTTTGAGCTTGTCTTTGGAAAGAGATAGGCAGGTGCAGTGGCTCAGGCCTGTAATCTCAGCAGTTTGGGAGGCTGAGATAGGAGGATTGTTTGTTAGGAGTTCAAGGCCAGCCTGGGCATCATAACAAGACCCCATCTCTACAAAAAGTAAAAAAATTAGCTGAGCGTGGTGGTGCACGCCTGTAGTCCCAGCTACTTGGGGGGTTGTGGTGGTAGGATGGCTTTTCCAATTATCCTACAGATATTTTTCAAAATGATTACTTTTAACCTATAATCTTTTTATTTGGAGGTGGGATGCTAACTCTCCAATTGCCTAGGACTTCTTTAATTTGTATATGTTAAGAAATTTTAATGGGCAATTTAATAAGTGTTGAAATTTCTAAGAATTATTTCCGTATGTTAGAGTTGTGATAAAGCAGACCTTTTCCCGGTAGTACTTCTCTGAGTCTGATTTGTTTTCCCCCATGGGTGCCACATAGGTTTATTTATTTATTTATTTATTTATTTATTTTGAGACAGAGTCTCACTTTGTCACCCAGGCTGGAGTGCACTGACGTGATCTCGGCTCACTGCAAGCGCCACCTCCCAGGTTCACGTCATTCTCCTGCCTCAGCCTCCCGAGTAGCTGGGACTACAGGTGCTTGCCACCACACCCAGCTAAGTTTTTTGTATTTTTCGTAGAGACAGGATTTCACTGGGTTAGCCAGGATGGTCTTGATCTCCTGACCTTGTGATCCGCCTGCCTCGGCTTCCCAAAGTGCTGGGATTACAGGCGTGAGCCACCATGCCTGGCCACACATGGGTTTACTTTAAGAAGGTAAAAAATAAAAGCTAAGGTACATACTGATTACCCCAGACAACATGCAGACATCACTCAATGAGTGCAGTTCTCATCAACTCACCATTTGTTTCAATTAGAAAAAATCTCTTCAAAACGAATTTTTCTGCATGAAATACCTTTTCAAATCACACTGTGATTTATTAATAGTGATTTATCAAATTCAGTTTTCTGCTGGACACTAAAGGAACACCTCATTAAGACTAGTGTTTATGGAAATAGTACAATATTTTAAACACTTTTAATTGTAAAAGTTTCTTTTAAACTTAATGCATACAGGTATGTTATTGTTCAGATATTTAGCACTTACATAGAAACTCACTGATCTACTAACAATTAGAAAAGAGACCTTTAGCCAAATGCCTCTGTACTCAGAAATAAAATGATTAATTACTGTTTTGCTCTTTTCTCTGGTTAAGGCTTTTAAAAAATTTTATTTTTCCTTTTACTATTACACCATAACTTGTTTAAATTTTGTTGCTATTGCAGAATTGCCGCAGTCATTACAGTTCGTGTCTCCCTGTGTATATGAGGGAGAGATTCTCTGGGCTGTGTAGATGCCCAGAGAATGGGGAGTGTGGGCCTGACCTGTCACATTCAATTTTTGTTTCACAGTCTTACATCTAATGCTCTTCGTTGCATTATGTAACTAGCTGGGGTTAGTTTCCTCAGTACCTACTCTTCAGAGCCTGTTTTCTCTCCGTTTACAGATGGGCCAACGTTGCTTGGGTGGTTGGTTTACTGGCTTTTCACACAACTGAGCTCCAGGAAAATACACCTGTTGTTGAGGTAATGTCTTTTATGACTGAAATGTGATTAATGACAAGAAATACTGTTGTTGATTCCGTAATTTAGAACATGCGGCTTTCCTTGACCTTCACTTGATTTTTCTTTGTGGGATTGTG
>NW_021160018.1:300000-396515 GCF_000001405.40 Homo sapiens | reverse complement strand
CGTTAGGACAGTAAACTTGCCTTGACCCCACTTTGTTTCTTGCACCTCGTATCAGCATACACTGTTGAACTGTATTAAGAATCTGAGCTTCCCTTGCCACACCCATTGTGTACAACCTGCTTCACTTTACGTCATTGCTTTCATGGGATTACCAAAATAGCCTCCTAACTCCTTTCCCACTTTCTCTTTCTCCTTGTACTTTGTTCTTCACTGAGCAACCAGAGTAAGTCTTTATTTTATTTTTTATTTTTTTTTTTGAGACAGAGTCTCCTCTGTCGCCCAGGCTGGAGTGCAGTGGTGCAATCTGGGTTGACTACAACCTCTACCTCCTGGTTCAAGTGATTCTCCTGCCTCAGCCTCCCAAGTAGCTGGGATTACAGGCATGCACCACCAAGCCTGGCTAATTTTTTGTGTTTTTAATAGAGATGAGCTTTTGCCATGTTGGCCAGGCAGGTCTCGAACTCCTGACCTCAGGTGATCCAGAGTAAGTCTTTTTAAAGCATAAGGAAAATAATGTTTTCATCTGCTTAAAACCTTCCATGGCTAGGAATGTTTTAAACCATCTTGTCCCCTGACACTTCTCTGATGTCTAGTCCAATCAGTCTCCCCTGTATTATTGCATCTTCAAAGACACCAGACAGATGTGTTCTGCCTCAGGGCCTTTGCATGTGTGGTCCCCTTTGCCTGGAATGCTTTCTCATCAGGAATCAGGATGGCTTACTTCCTCTCTTTTTTATTTTATTTTATTTTATTTTATTATTATTATACTTTAAGTTTTAGGGTACATGTGCACAACGTGAAGGTTTGTTACATATGTATACATGTGCCATGTTGGTGTGCTGCACCCATTAACTCGTCATTTAGCATTAGCTATATCTCCTAATGCTATCCCTGCCCCCTTCCCCCAACCCACAACAGTCCCTGGTGTGTGATGTTCCCCTTCCTGTGTCCATGTTTTCTCATTGTTCAATTCCCACCTATGAGTGAGAACATGTGGTGTTTGGTTTTCTGTTCTTGCGATAGTTTGCTGAGAATGATGGTTTCCAGTTTCATCCATGTCCCTACAAAGGACATGAACTCATCATTTTTTATGGCTGCATAGTATTCAGTGGTGTATATGTGCCACATTTTCTTAATCCAGTCTATCATTGTTGGACATTTGGGTTGGTTCCAAGTCTTTGCTATTGTGAATAGTGCCACAATAAACATATGTGTGCATGTGTCTTTATAGCAGCATGATTTATAAACCTTTGGGTATATGCCCAGTAATGGGATGGCTGGGTCAAATGGTATTTCTAGTTCTAGATCCTTGAGGAATCACCACAGTGACTTCCACAATGGTTGAACTAGTTTACAGTCCCACCAACAGTGTAAAAGTGTTCCTATTTCTCCACATCCTCCCCAGCACCTGTTGTTTCCTGACTTTTTAATGATTGCCATTCTAACTGGTGTGAGATGGTATCTCATTGTGGTTTTGATTTGCATTTCTCTGATGGCCAGTGATGATGAGCATCCTTTCATGTGTCTTTTGGCTGCATAAATGTCTTCTTTTGAGAAGTGTCTGTTCATATCCTTTGTCCACTTTTTGATGGGGTAGTTTGTTTTTTCTTGTAAATTTGTTTGAGTTCATTGTAGATTCTGGATATTAGCCCTTTGTCAGATGAGTAGGTTGCAAAAATTTTCTCCCATTTTATAGGTTGCCTGTTCAGTCTGATGGTAGTTTCTTTTGCTGTGCAGAAGCTCTTTAGTTTAATTAGGTCCCATTTGTCAATTTTGGTTTTTGTTGCCATTGCTTTTGGTGTTTTAGACATGAAGTCCTTGCCCATGCCTATGTCCTGAATGGTATTGCCTAGGTTTCCTTCTAGGGTTTGGGCTCATAATAAAGGGATGGAGGAAGATCTACCAGGAAAATGGAAAACAAAAAAAGGCAGGGTTTGCAATCCTAGTCTCTGATAAAACAGACTTTAAACCAACAAAGATAAAAAGAGACAAAGAAGGCCATTACATAATGGTAAAGGGATCAATTCAACAAGAAGAGCTAACTATCCTAAACATATATGCATCCAATACAGGAGCACCCGGATTCATAAAGCAAGTCCTGACTGACCTACAAAGAGAGTTAGACTCCCACACAATAATAATGGGAGACTTTAATACCCCACTGTCAACACTGGACAGATCAAAGAGACAGAAAATTAGCAAGGATACCCAGGAATTGAACTCAGCTCTGCACCAAGCGGACATAATAGACATCTACAGAACTCTCCACCCCAAATCAACAGAATATACATTTTTTTCAGCACCACACCACACCTATTCCAAAATTGACCACATAGTTGGAAGTAAAGCTCTCCTCAGCAAATGTAAAAGAACAGAAATTATAGCAAACTGTCTCTCAGACCACAGTGCAATCAAACTAGAACTCAGGATTAAGAAACTCCCTCAAAACCGCTCAACTACATGGAAATTGAAAAACCTTCTCCTGAATGACTACTGGGTACATAATGAAATGAAGGCAGAAATAAAGATGTTCTTTGAAACCAATGAGAACAAAGACACAACATACCAGAATCTCTGAGACACATTTAAAGCAGTGTGTAGAGGGAAATTTATAAAACTGAATGCCCACAAGAGAATGCAGGAAAGATCCAAAATTGACACCCTAACATCACAATTAAAAGAACTAGAGAATCAAGAGCAAACACATTCAAAAGCTAGCAGAAGGCAAGAAATAACTAAAATCAGAGCAGAACTGAAGGAAATAGAGACACAAAGTTTGTCCCCCTTAGGGAGGGACAAACTTTCAAACAACAGCGAGAGTGTTCTGAAATCCTCTGTTATAGACAAACATTCAGAGCCTCGTCCCTGTTTTCTGGAAATCTACGTAAGGGAGAAACACTCAGAATCCAGCAACAGTGTCTTGGAATCGTATGTTACGGACATACATGTAGACCCCAGCAGCAGTGTTCTGGGATCCTATGTGAGGGACAAACATTCAGACAATCGTAGCAGTGTTGTGGAATCCTACTTGAGGGGCAAACATTCAGACCCCAGCAGCAGTGTTCTGGAATCCTATGTGAGGAAGGAACACTGAGAACATAGCAGGAGTGTTTTGGAATCCTACGAGAGGGAAAAACAATCAGACCCTTGTGGCAGTGTTCTGGAATCCCATGTGAGGTACAAACATTAAGCCCACAGCAGGGGTGTTCTGCAGTCCTGCGTGAGGGACAAACTTTCTGACCCAAGCAGCAGTGTTCTGGAATCCTATATGAGGGACAAACATTCAAACAGCTGTGGGAGTGTTCTGGAATCCCATGTTAGGGACAAACATTAAGACCCTCGTCGCAGTGTTCTGGAATTCTATGTGAGTGACAAACACTCAGAACCCGGCAACAGTGTTCTGGAATCCTATGTGACGGGCATACATGTAGACCCCAGAAGCAGTGTTCTGGAATCCTATGTGAAGAACAAACATTCAGACAATTGTAGCAGTGTTCTTTAATTCCATTTGAGGGACAAACATTCAGACCCTCATAGTATTGTTCTGGAATCCTACGTGAGCGACAAACATTCAGACAATCGTAGCAGTGTTCTGGGATACTATGTGTGGGACAAACATTCAGACACCAGCAGCAGTGTTCTGGAATCCTATGTGAGGGACAAAGATTCAGACCCTCAAAGAAGTGTTCTGGAATCCTATGTGAGTGACAAACCTTCAGACAATCGTAGCAGTGTCCCGGAATACTATGTGTGGGACAAACAACCAGACACCAGCGGTAGTGTTCTTGAATCCTATGTTATGGACAAACATTCAGACCCTTATCACAGTATTCTGGAATTCCATGTGAGGGAGAAACACTTATAACCCAGCAGCAGTGTTCTGGAATCCTATGTGACGGACATACATATAGACCCCAGAAGAAGTGTTCTGGAATCCTATGTGAGGGACAATCATTCAGACCCTTGTAGCAGTGTTCTGGAATTCTGTGTGAGGGACAAACATTCTGGCCACAGCAGGACTGTTCTGGAATCCGCTATGAGGAACAAACATTCAGGACCTTGTAGCAGTGTAGTGGAATCAGATGTGACTGACAAATATTTAGACCCCAGAAGCAGTGTTCTGGAGTCCTGTGTGAGGGACAAACATTCAGAACCTCTTAGCAGTGTTCTGGAATCCTAAGTGAGAGACAAACACTCAGAACACAGCAGCAGTGTTCTGGTACCCTATGTGAGGAACAAACATTCAGATCACAGCAGGATTGTTATGGAATCCTATGTGAGGGACAAACACTCAGAACACAGCTGGAGTGTTTTGCAATGTTATGTGAGACACAAATATTCAGACCCTCGTAGCAGTGTTCTGGAATCCTATGTGAGGGACAAACATTCAGACCCCAGCAGCAGTGTTCTGGAATCCTATGTGAGGGAAAAACATTCAAACCCTCGTAGCAGTGTTGGGGAATCCTATGTGAGGGAAAAACTTTCAAAGAGTCGTAGCAGTGTTCTGGAATCCTATGTTACGGACAAACGTTCAGACTCTCGTTGCAGTGTTCTGGAATTCTATGTGAGGGACAAACACTCAGAATCCAGCAGAAGTGTTCTGGAATCCGGTGTGATGGACATACATGTAGACCCCAGCAGCAGTGTTCTGGAATCCTATGTGAGGGACAATCATTCAGAAACTCGTAGCAGTGTTCTGGAATTCTGTTTGAGGGACAAACGTTCAAACCCTCGTAGCAGTGTTCTGGAAACCTGTGTGAGGGACAAACATTGAGACTACATCAGGAGTGATCTGGAATCCCCTTTGAGGAACAAGTGTTCATACTCTCTTATTAGTGTTCTGCAATTCTATGTGAAGAACAAAAATTTAGACCCCAGCAGCAGTGTTCTGTAATCTTATGTGAGGCACAATCATCCAGACCCTCATTGCAGTGTACTGGAATCCTATATGAGGGATAAACAATCGTAGCAGTGTTCTGGAATTCTTTGAGTGGGACAAACATTCAGAACCCAGGAGCAGTGTTCTGGAAACTTAAGTGAGTAACAAACATTCAGACCACGGCTGGTTTGTTCTGGAATCCCCTGTGAGGGACAAACATTCAGACCACTGCAGGATTGTTCAGGAATCCTATCTGAGGGACAAACATGCAGACCCTCACAGCAGTGTTCTGGAATCCTATATGAGGAATAAGCATTCAGACCATCGTAGCAGTGTTCTGGAATTCTGTGTGAGAGACAAACATTCAGACCCAAGAAGCAGTATTCTGCAATCCTACGTGAGAGAAAAACATTCTAACAACAGCTGGAGTGTTCTGGAATCCTATGTTACGGACAAACATTAGACCCCCGTCGCAGTCTTCTGCAAATCTATATGAGGGAGAAACACTCAGAACCCAGCAGTAGTGTTCTGGAATCCTATGTGACTGACATACATGTAGACCCAGCAGTAGTGTTCTGGAATCCTATGGGAAGGAAAAACATTCAGACCCCAGCATCAGTGTTCTGCAATCCTATGGGAGGGACAATCATTCAGACCCTCGTAGCAGTGTGCAGGAATTCTGTGTGAGAATCAAACCTTCAGACCCTCATAGCAGTGTTCTGGAATCGTATGTGAGGAACAAACATTCAGACCCTCATAGGAGTGTTCTGGAATCCTGTGTGAGGTACAATCATTCAGACCCTCGTCACAGTGTTCTGTAATTCTATGTGAGGGAGAAACACTCAGAACCCAGGGGCAGGGTTCTGTAATCCTATGTGAGGGACAAACATTCAGACCTCAGCAGCGGTGTCTGGAATGCTACGTGAGGGAAAATCATTCAGACCCTCATAGCAGTGTTCTGGAATTCTGTGTGAGGGACAAAAATTCAGATCCTCATAGCAGTGTTCTGGAATCCTGTGTGAGGGACAAACATTGACAACACAACAGGATTGTTCTGGAATCCCCTGTAAGGAACAAACATTCAGAACCTCGTGGCAGTGTTCTGGAATCCTATGTGACGGACAAACACTTAGACCCCAACAGCAGTGTTCTGGAATGCTATGTGAGGGACAAACATTCAGACCCTTCCGGTAGTGTTATGAAATCCTATGTGAGGAAAAAACACTCAGAACCCAGCAGCAGTGTTCTGGAACCCTATGTGAGGGAACAACTTTCAGACCACAGCAGGATTGTTCTGGAATCCTGTGTAAGGGATAAACACTCAGAGCATGGCAGGAGTGTTTTGGAATCCTATGTGAGGGACAAACATTCAGACCCTAGTTGCAGTGTTCTGGAATCCAATGTGAGTGTCAAACAGTCAAACAACAGGGGTAGTGTTCCATAATCCTATGTTACAGACAAACATTCAGACCCTCGTTGCAGTATTCAGGAATCCTATGTTAGGGAAACACATTCAGACCCTCGTAGCACTGATCTGGAATCCTATGTGAGTGACAAACATTCAGACAATCATAGCAGTATTCTGGAATCCTCTGTGAGGGACAAACACCCAGACCCTCGTAGGATTTTTCTGGAATCCTATGTGAGGGACAAACATTCAGATAATCGTAGCAGTGTTCTGGAATCCTATGGGAGGGACAAAAACTCCGCCCCCAGTAGCAGTGCACTGGAATCCTATGTGAGGGACAAACATTCAAACAACAGCAAGAGTGTTGTGGGATGCTACGTTACAGAGAAACATTATGACCCTCGTCGCAGTGTTCTGGAATTCTATGTGAGGGAGAAACATACAGAACCCAGCAGCAGTGATCTGGAATCCTATGTGACGGCCATACATGTAGACCCCAGCAGCAGTGTTCTGGAATCCTGTGTGAGGGACAAACATTCAGACCCTAGCAGCAGTGTTTTGGAATCCTATGTGTGTGACAAATATTCAGACCCTTGTAGCAGTGTTCCGGAATCTTATGTGAGGGACAGACACTGAGAATCTAGCAGCAGTGTTCTGCAACCCTATGTGAGGTACAGACATTCAGACTACAGCAGGAGTGTTCTGGAATCCTATGTGAGGGACAATCACTCAGACAATCGTAGCAGTGTTGGGGAATCCTAAGTGAGGGACGAAAATTCAGACCATCGTATCACTGTTCTGGATCCGAAGTGAGGGATAAATATTCAGACCACAGCAGAGTGTTCTGGAATCCACAGTGAGGGACAAACTTTCAGACCTTCTTTGCAGTGTTCTGGAATCCTACAGAGTGACAAACATTCAGACAATCGTAACAGTGTTCTGGAATCCTGTGTGAAGGAAAAACCTTCAGACTCAAGCAGCAGTGTTCTGGAATTCTATGTGAGAAACAAACATTCAAACAACAGCGGGAGTCTTCTGCAATCCTATGTTACGGACAAACATTCAGACCCTCGTCTCAGTTTTCTGGAGTTCTATGTGAGGGAGGAAGACTCAGAATCCTGCAGCATTGTTCTGGAATCCCATGTGACAGACATACATGTAGAGCCCTGCAGCCATCTTCTGGAATCCTACGTGAGGGACAAACATTCAGAACCCAGCAACAGTGTTCTGGAGTCCCATGTGAGGGACAATCATTCAGACCATTATAGCAGTGTTCTGGAATTCTGTGTGAGGGACAAACATTCTGACCCTTGTAGCTGTGTTCTGGAATCCTGTGTGAGGGACAAACATTCAGAACACAGCAGGAGGTTTCTGGAATCCCCTGTGAGGAGCAAATATTCAGAACCTCGTATCAGTGTTCTGGAATCCTATGTGATGGACGTACCTGTAGACCCCAGCAGCAGTGTTCTGGAATCCTACGTGAGGGACAATCATTCAAACCCTCATAGCAGTGTTCTGGAATCCTATGTGATGGACAAACATTTAGACGCCAGCAGCAGTATTCTGGAATCCTAGGTTTGGGACAAACACTGAGAACCTACTAGCAGTGTTCTGGAACCATATGAGAGGGACCAACGTTGAGACCCTCATAGGAGTGTTCTGGAATCCTGTGTGATGGATAAATATTCACAACACAAGAGGAGTGTTCTGGAATCCCCAGTAAGGAACAAACATTCAGAACCTCGTGGCAGTGTTCTGGAATCCTATGTGAAGGACAAACATTCAAACTACAGCGAGAGTGTTCCGGAATACTACTTTATGGAGAAACATTCAGGCTCTCGTCGCAGTGTTCTGGAATTCTATGTGAGGGAGATACATTCAGAACCCAGCAGCAGTGATCTGGAATCCTATGTGACAGCCATACATGTAGACCCCAGTAGCAGTGTTCTGGAATCCTGTGTGAGGGACAAACACTGAGACCCCAGCAGCAGTGTTTTGGAATCCTATGTGTGTGACAAATATTCAGACCCTTGTAGCAGTGTTCCAGAATCCTATGTGAGGGACAAACACTGACAATCTAGAAACAGTGTTCTGCAACCCTATAAGAGGGACAGACATTCAGACCACAACAGGAGTGTTCTGGAATCCTATGTGAGGGACAAACATTCAGACCCTCGTATCACTGTTCTGGATCCTAAGTGAGGGACAAACTTTCAGACAATCGTAGCAGTGTTCTAGAGTCCTAAGAGAGGAACGAACATTCAGACCCTCGTATCACTGTTCTGGATCCTAAGTGAGGGACAAACATTCAGACCACAGCAGAGTGTTTTGGAATCCACAGTGAGAGACAAACTTTCAGACCCTCGTTGCAGTGTTCTGGAATCCTATGGAGTGACAAACATTCAGACAATCATAGCAGTGTTCTGGAATCCTGTGTGAAGAAAAAACTTTCAGACTCAAGCAGCAGTGTTCTGGAATCCTATGTGAGGGACAAACATTCAAGCAACAGCGGGAGTCTTCTGGAATCCTACGTGAGGGACAAACATTCAAACAACAGCGGGAGTCTTCTGGAATCCTAAGTTATGGACAAACATTCAGATCCTCGTCGCAGTCTTCTGGAATTCTTTGTGAGGGAGGAACACTCAGAATCCTGCAGCATTGTTCTGGAATACCATGTGACGGACATACCTGTAGACCCCTGAAGCCGTGTCATGGAATCCTATGTGAGGGACAAACATT
Organism: Homo sapiens; assembly: GCF_000001405.40. Lineage (NCBI taxonomy): Eukaryota > Metazoa > Chordata > Mammalia > Primates > Hominidae > Homo > Homo sapiens. The sequence continues at coordinate 387,489 of NW_021160018.1, read as the reverse complement.
CAGAACCCAGCAGCAGTGTTCTGGAGTCCCATGTGAGGGACAATCATTCAGACCATCGTAGCAGTGTTCTGGAATTCTGTGTGAGAGACAAACCTTCAGACCCTTGTAGCAGTGTTCTGGAATCCTAAGTGACGGACAAACATTTAGACCTCAGCAAAAGTATTCCGGAATCCTATGTGAGTTACAAACATTGAAACAACAGCGGGAGTGTTCTGGAATCCTTTATTGCAAACAAACTTTCAGAACCTTGTCGCAGTGCTCTGGAGTTCTATGTGAGGGAGAAAGACTCAGAACCCAGCAGCAGTGCTCCGGAATCCTATGTGACAGACACACATGTATACCCCAGCAGCAGTGGTATGGAATCCTATGTGAGGGACAAACATTCAGACCAAGACAGCATTGTTATGGAAAACTATGTGAGGAAAAATCATTCAGACTCTCATAGCAGTGTTCTGGGATTCTGTGTGAGGAACAAACATTGAGACCCTCGAATGTGTGTTCTGGAATCCTATGTGAGGGGAAAACATTCAGGCCACGGTAGCAGTGTTCTGGAATCCTATGTGAGAGACAAACATTCAGAAACTCATAGCAGTGTTCCGGAATCCCATGTGAGGGACAACCAGTCTGACAATCGTAGAAGTGTTCTGGAATCCTACATGACTGTCATACATGTAGACCCCAGCAGCAGTGTTCTGGAATCCTATGTGAGAGACAAACATTCAGACTCCAGCAGCAGTGTTTTGGCATCCTATGTGAGGGACAATCATTCAGACCCTCTTAGCAGTGTTCTGGAATTATGAGTGAGGGACAAACATTAAGACGCCTGCAGCAGTGTTCTGGAATCCTGTGTGAGGGACAAACATTCAGACCACAACAGGATTGTTCTGGAATCCGATGTGAGGAAAAATCTTTCAGACCCTCTTAACATTGTTCAGGAATCCCATGTGAGGGACAAACATTGAGACCACAGCAGTAGTGTTCTTTAATCCTATGTGAGGGACAAATATTCAGACCCTCATAGCAGTGTTCTGGAATCCTATGTGAGGGACAAACATTGAGAGAATCGTGGCAGTGTTCTGGAATCTTACGTGAGGGAGAAACATTCAGACCGCAGCAGCTGTGTTCTGGAATCCTATGTAAGGGACAATCATTCAGACCCTCATAGCAGTGTTCTGGAATTCTGTGTGATTGACAAAGTTTCAGAACCTCGTAGCAGTGTTCTGGAATCCTATATGAGGGACACACATTCAGATCCCAGCAGCAGTGTTCTGGAATCCTATTTGAGGGACAATCATTCAGATCCTCATAGCAGTGTTCTGGATTCTGGGTCAGGGACAAACGTTCATACCCTCGTGTCATTATTCTGGAATCCTGTGTGAGGAAAAAACATTCAGACAACAGCAGGATTGTTGTGGAATGCCCGGTGAGGAACAAACATTCAGACCCTCGTAGCAGTGTTCTGGAATCCTATGTGACTGACAAACATTTAGACAACAGCAGCAGTGTTCTGGAATCCTATGTGAGGGACAATCATTCAAACAACAGCGGGAGTGTTCTGGAATCCTATGTTTAGGAAAATCATTCAGACCCTCGTCGCAGTGTACTGGAATTCTATGTGAGGGCAAACATTCAGACCACAGCAGTAGTGTTCTGGTATCCTACGTGAGGGACAAACATTCAGACCCTCATAGAAGTGTTCAGGAATCCTATGTGAGGAACAAACATTCAGACCACAGCAGGAGTGTTCTGCAATCCCCTGTGAGGAAGAAACATTCATACCCTCGTAATGGTCTTCTGGAATCCTATGTGATGGGCAAACATTTAGATCACAGCAGCAGTGTCCTGGAATCCTATGTGAGGGACAATCATTCAGACACTCGTAACATTGTTCTGGAATCCTAAGTGAGGGACAAAAATTCAGACAATCCTAGCAGTGTTCTGGAAACCTATGTGTGGGCCAAACATTCGGACCCCAGGGACAGTGTTCTGCAATCCTATGTGAGGGAAAAACATTCAAACAACTGCGGGATTGTTCTGACATCCTATATTATGGACAAAGATTCCGACACTCTTCACAGTGATCTGGAGTTATATGTGAGTGAGAAACACTCAGATCCCAGCAGCAGTGTTCTAGAATCCCATGTGATGGACATACATGTAGACCCCAGCGGAAGTGTTCCAGAATCCTATGTGAGAGACAAAGATTCAGACCCCAGAAGCAGTGTTCTGCAATCCTATGTGAGTGACAATCATTCAGAAATTCGTAACAGTGTTCTGGAATTCTGTGTGTGGGAGAATCATTCAGTCCCTCATAGCAGTGTTCTGGAATTCTGTGTGAGGGAAAAACATTCAGACCCTCGTAGCAGTGTTCTGAAATCCTTTGTGAGGGACATTCAGACAACAGCAGTAGTGTTCTGGAATCCTCTGTGAGGAACAAACGTTTAGACAGTCGTAGCAGTGTTCTGGAATCCTACGTGACAGACAAACTTTTAGACCCCAGCAGCAGTGTTCTGGAATCCTATGCGAGGGACAAACATTCAGACAATGGTAACAGTGTTCTGAAATCCTATGTGAGGGACAAACACTCAAAACCCAGCAGCAGTATTCTTGAATGCTATGTGAGGGACAAACTTTCAGACCACAGCAGGAGTGTTCTGGAATCCTATGTGAGGGACAATCATTCAGACCCTCGTAGCAGTGTTCTGGAATTCTGTGTGAGAGACAAACATTCAGACCCTCGTAGCGGTGTTCTGGAATCCAATGTGACGGACAAAAATTCAGACCACCACAGGAGTGTTCTGGAATCCTCTGTGAGGGAGAAACATTCAGAACCTAGTAGCAGTGTTCTGGAATCCTATGTGAGGAATAAACACTCGGAACCAAGCAGCAGTGTTCTGGAAAACTATGTAATAGACAAACATTCAGACCAGAGTAGGATTGCTCTGGAATCCTATGTGTTGGACACACATTCAGAACACAGCAGGAGTGTTTTGGAATCCTATGTGAGGGACAAACATACAGACCCTCGTAGCAGTGTTCTGGAATCCAATGTGATTGACAAATATTCAGACCACAGCAGGAGTGTTTTGGAATCCTATGTGAGGGACAAACATACAGACCCTTGTAGCAGTGTTCTGGAATCCAATGTGATTGACAAATATTCAGACCACAGCAAGAGTGTTGTGGAAACTACTGTGAGGAACAAACATTGAGATCCACGTAGCAGTGTTCTGGAATCCTATGTGAGGGACAAACATTTAGACTCCAGCAGGAGTGTTCTGGAATCCCAAGTGTGGTACGAACATTCAGACCATCGTAGCCGTGTTCTGATACTCTATGTGAAGGACAAACTTTCAGACAATAGTAGGAGTGTTCTGGTATCCTAAGTGAGGGACAAACATAAGAGCCCAGCAGCAGTGTTCTGGAATCCTATGTGATGGACAATCATTCCGAACCTCGTAGCAGTGTTCTGGAATTCTCTTTGAGGGACAAATATTCAGACACTCGTAGTAGTATTCTGGAATCCTGTGTGAGGGACAAACATTCAGACGACAGCAGGAGTGTTCTGGAATACCTCGTGAGAAACGAACATGCAGACCCTCGTGTTCTGGAATCCTTTGTGACAGAAAAACATTTTTACCCCAGCGGTAGTGTTCTGGAATCCTACGTGAGGGACAATCATTCAGACCCTCGTAGCAGTGTTCTGGAACCCTATGTGAGGGACAAAAACTCAGACCCCAGCAGTAGTGTTTTCGAATCATATGTGTGGGACAAACATTGAAACAACAGCACTAGTGTCCTGGAATCATATGTTTCATGCAAACATTCAGACCCTCGTTGCAATGCTCTGGAATTCTGTGGGGAAAAGCAAGAGAGATCAGATTGTTACTGTGTCTGTGTAGAAAGAAGTAGACATAGGAGACTCCATTTTGTTCTGTACTAAGAAAAATTATTCTGCCTTGAGATTCTGTTAATCTATGACCTTACCCCCAACCCCGTGCTCTCTGAAATATGTGCTGTGTCAAACTCAGGGTTAAATGGATTAAGTGTTGTGCAAGATGTGCTTTGTTAAACAGTTGCTTGAAGGCAGCATGCTCCTTAAGAGTCATCACTACTCCCTAATCTCAAGTACCCAGGGACACAAAAACTGCGGAAGGCCGCAGGGAACTCTGCCTAGGAAAGCCAGGTAGTGTCCAAGGTATATCCCCATGGGATAGTCTGAAATATGGCCTTATGGGAAGGGAAAGACCTGACCGTCCCCCAGCCCGACACCCGTAAATGGTCTGTGCTGAGGAGGATTAGTATAAGAGGAAGGCATGCCTCTTGCAGTTGAGACAAGAGGAAGGCATCTGTCTCCTGCCCGTCCATGGGCAATGGAATGTCTCGGTATAAAACCCGAATGTACGTCCCATCTACTGAGATAGGGAAAAACCGCCTTAGGGCTGGAGGTGGGACATGCGGGCAGCAATACTGCTTTGTAAAGCATTGAGATGTTTATGTGTATGCATATCTAAAAGCACAGCACTTGATTCTTTACCTTGTCTATGATGCAAAGACCTTTGTTCACGTGTTTGTCTGCTGACCCTATCCCCACTATTGTCTTGTGACCCTGACACATCACCCTCTCGGAGAAACACCCACAAATGATCAATAAATACTAAGGGAACTCAGAGGCTGGCGGGATCCTCCATATGCTGAACGCTGGTTCCCTGGGTCCCCTTATTTCTTTCTCTATATTTTGTCTCTGTGTCTTTTTCTTTTCCATGTCTCTCATTCCACCTAACAAGAAAAACCCACAGGTGTGGAGGGGCAACCCACCCCTTCAGAATTCTATGTGAGGGAGAAAATTCAGACCCCAGCAGCAGTGTTCTGGAATCCGACGTGAGGGACAATCACTCAGACACTCGTATCAGTGTTCTGCAATTCTGTGTGAGGACGAACATTCAGACCACAACAGGGATGTTCTGGAATCCTATGTGAGGGACAAACATTCGGACCCCAGATGTAGTGTTTTCGAATACTATGTGTGGGACAAACATTCAAACAACGGCGGGAGAATTATGGAATTCTATGTTTCGGACAAACATTCAGACCCTCGTAGCATTGTTCTGGAATCCTATGTGACGGACTAACATTTAGACCCTGCAGCAGTGTTCTGGAAACCTATGTGATGGACATGCATGTAGACCCCAGCAGCAGTGTTCTGGAATCCTATGTGATTGACAAATGTTCAGACCCCCGCAGCAGTGTTCTGGAATCCTATGTGATTTGCAATCATTCAGACCCTCATAGCAGTGCTCTGGAATTCTGTGTGAGGGACAAGCATTCAGACCCTCTTAGAAGTTTTCTGGAATCCTATGTGAGGGACAAACATTCAGACCCCTGCAGCAGTGTTCTGGCATCGATGTAAGGGACAATCATTCAGACCCACACAGCACTGTTCTGGAATTCTGCTTCAGGGCCAACATTCAGACCACAAAAGGAGTGTTCTGGAATCACCTGTGAGGAACAAACTTTCAGAACCCCGTAGCAGTGTTCTGGAATCCTATGTGTCAGACAAACATTTAAACCCCAGCAACAGTGTTCTGGAATCTTATGTGAGGGAGAAATATTCAGACAATCGTAGCAGTGTTCTGGAATCCTGTGTAAGGGACAAACTTTCTGATCCAAGCAGCAGTGTTCTGGAATCCTATGTGAGGGACAAACATTCAAACAACAGCGGGAGTGTTCTGGAATCCTATGTTACAGACAAACATTCAGGTTCTCGTCACAGTGTTCTAGAATTCTCTGTGAGGGAGAAACACTCAGAACCCAGCTGCAGTGTTCTGGAATCCTATGTAGTGGACATACATGTAGACCCCAGAAGCAGTGCTGTGGAATGCTGCGTGAGGAACAATCATTCAGACCCCAGCAGCAGTGTTCTGGAATATTGCTTGAGGGACAATCATTCAGACCCTCGTAGCAGTGTTCTGGAGTCCAGTGTGAGGGACAAATATTCAGATCACAACAGGAGTATTCTGGAATCCCCTATGAAGAACAAACATTCAGGCTATCGTAGCAGTGTTCTGGAATCCTATGTGACTGACAAACATTGAGACCCCAGCAGCAGTGTTCTGGAGTGCTACGTGAGGGACAAACATTCAGACACTAGTAGCAGTGTTCTGGAATCCTATGTGAGGGACAAACACTAAGAACCCAGCAGCATTTTTCTGGGTCCCTATGTGAGGGACAAATACTCGGAACACAGCTTCAGTGTTTTGCCATTTTATGTGAGGGACAAACATTCAGACCCTCATAGAAGTGTTCTGGAATCCTATGTGAGGGACAAACTTTCCGACAATTATAACAGAGTTCTGTAATCCTACGTTAAGGACAAATATTCAGACACTCGTAACAGTGTTCTGGAATCGTATGTGAGGGACACACATTCAGACAATTGTAGCAGTGTTTTGGAATCCTATGTGAGGGACAAACATTCAGAAGCCAGCACAAGTGTTCTGGAATCTTCTGTGAGGGAAAAACATTCAATCAACAGCGGGAGTGTTCTGGAATCCTATGTTATGGACAAACATTCAGATGCTCATCGCAGTGTTCTGAAATTGTATGTGAGGGAGGAACACTGAGAACCCAGCAGCAGTTTTCTGGAATCCTATATGATGGATGTACTTGTAGACCCCAGCAGCAGTGTTCTAGAATCCTATGTGAGGGACAAACATTCAGACCTTCGTCGAATTGTTCTGGAATCCTATAAGAGGGACAAACACTCAGAAACCAGCAGCAGCATTCAGGAACCCTATGTGAGGGACAAACATTCAGACAACAGCAGGATTGTTCTGGACTCCTATGTGAGTAACATACACTCAGAAAACAGCAGGAGTGTTTTGGAATCCTATGTAAGGGACAAACATTCAGATCCTCATAGCAGTGTCCTGGATTTCTGCGTGAGGGACAAACATTCAGACCCCCATAGCAGTGTTCTGGAATCCTATGTTAGAGAGAAACATTCAGACCACAGCAGGAGTGTTCTGGAATCTCCTGTGAGGAACAAACATTCAGACTCCCCTAACAGTGTTCTGAAATCTTATGTGACTGACAAACATTTAGACGCCAGCAGCAGTATTCTGGAATGCAATGTGAGGGACAAATATTGAGACCCTCGTAGCAGTGTTCTGGTATCCTATCTGAGAGACAAACTCTCAGAACCAAGCAGCGGTGTTCTGGAAAATTATGTAAGGGATAAGGATTCAGACCAGATCTGGTATGCTCTGGAATTCTATGTGAGGAACAAACTCTCAGAATACTGCAGGAGTGTTTTGGAATCCTATGTGAGGGACAAACATTCAGACCCTCGTAGCAGTGTTCTGGAATCCCATGTGATTGACATTCAGACCACAGCAGGAGTGTTCTGGAATCCCCTGTGAGGACCCAACATTCAGACCTCTGTAGCAGTGTTCTGGAATCCTAAGTGAGAGACAAACATTTAGACCCCAGCAGCAATGTTCTGGAATCCTATGTGAGGGACAAACATTCAGACCCTCGAAGCAGTGTTCTGGAATCCAATGTGTGGGATAAACATTCAGACAATAGTAGCAGTGTTCTGTAATCCAATGTGAGGGACACACATTCAGGCCCTCGTCGGAATGCTTTGAATTCTATGTGAGGGACAAACACTGAGACAATCTTAGTACTATTCAGGAATCCTCTGTGAGGTACAAATTTTTAGACCACAGCAGAAGTGTTCTGCAATCCTATTTGAGGGACAAACATTCAAACAACAGAGGGAATCTTCTGGAATCCTATGTTACGGACCAACATTCAGACCCTCGTTGCAGTGTTCTGGAATTCTATGTGAGGGAGAAACAAGTAGAACCTATCAGCTGTGTTCTGGAATCCTGTGGGGGGACATACATGTAGACACCAGCAGCGGTGTTCTGGAATCTTATGTGAGGGACAAACATTCAGAACCGAGCAGCAGTGTTCTGGAACTCTGTATGAGGGACAAACATTAAGAACACGGCAGGATTGTTCTGCAATCCTATGTGAGGGAGAAACACTCTGAAAACCGTAAGTGTGTTTTGGAATCCTACATGAGGGCCAAACAATCAAACCCTCATAGCTGTGTTCCGGAATCCTATGTGAGGGGCAAACACTCAGACAATCGTAGCAGTTTTCTGGAATCCTTTGTGAGGGACAAGCATTCATTCCCTCGTAGCGGTGTTCGGGAACCCTGTATGAGGGACAAACATTCAGACCACACCGTTCTGGAATCCCCTCTGTGGGAAAAACATTCAGACCCTCGTGGCAGTGTTCTGGAATCCTATGTGACGGACAAAGATTTAGACCACAGCAGCAGTGTTCTGAAATCCTATGTGAGGGACATTCAGACCCTCTTAGCAGTTTTCTGGAATCTTATGTGAGGGACAATCATTCAGACCTCAGCAGGAGTGTTCTGGAAAACCCATGTGAGGGACAAACACTCAGACTACAGCAGGAGTGTTCTGGAATCCCCTGTGAGGGACAAACATTCAGACTGTCGTAGGGGTGTTCTGCAATCCTATGTGACGAACAAACATATAGAATCCAGCAGCATTGTTCTGGAATCCTATGTAGGAGACAAACATTCAGACAATAGTAGCAGTGTTCTGGAATCCTATGTGAGGGGCAAACATTCAGACCACAGCAGCAGTGTTCTGGAATCCTATGTGAGGGACAAACATTCAAACAACAGCGAGAGTGTTCTGGAATCCTAAGTTATGGACAAACACTCAGACCCTCGTGGCAGTGTTCTGGAATTCTATGTGATGGAGAAACACTCAGAATCCAGCAGCAGTGTTCTGGAATCCTATATGACGGAGATACACGTACACCCCAGCAGCAGTGTCCTGGAATCCTATGTGAGAGACAAACTTTCAGACCCCAGGAGCAGAGTTCTGGAATCCTACATGAGGGATAAACATTCAGACCCTCTTAGCAGTTTTCTTAATCACTATGTCAGGGACAAAGATTCAGACCTCAGCACCATTGTTCTGGAATCCTACATGAGGCTCAAACATTCAGACCCTCGTTGCAGTCTTCTGGAATCCTGTGTAAGAGACAATCATTCAGACAACAGCAGGAGTCTTCTGGAATTCCCTGTGAGAAATAAACACTCAGATCCTCCTAGCAGTGTTCTGGAAACCTATATGACGGACAAACATTTAGACAACTGAAGCAGTGTTATGGAATCACATATGAGAGACAGACATTCAGAAACTTGTACCAGAGTTCTGGAATCCTTTGAGAGGGACAAACATTCAGAACCCAGCAGAAATGTTCCGGAATCCTATGTGAGGGACAAGCATTCAGACACTGGTAGCAGTGTTCTGGAATCCTAAGTGAGAGACAAACACTCCGAACCCAGCAGCATTGTTCTGGAACCCTATGTGAGGGAAAAACATTCATACCACAGAAAGATTGCCTTCGAATCCTATGAGAGGGACAAACACTCAGAACACAGCAGGAGTGTGTTGGAATCCTATGTGAAGGAAAAACATTGAGACCCTCGTAGCAGTGTTCTGGAATCCTATGTGAGGGACAAACATTCAGATCCTCGAAGCAGTGTTCTGGAATCTAATGTGAGGGATAAACATTCAAATAACAGCGGGAGTGTTCTGAAATCCTGTGTTACGGACAAATATTCAGACCATCGTGGCAGTGTTCTGGAATTCTATGTGAGGTAGAAACATTCAGAACACAGCAGCAGTGTTCTGGAAACCTATGCGACGGACATACATGCAGACCCCTGCAGGGGGGTTCTGGAATCCTATGTGAGGGACAAACATTCAGAAGCCTGCAGCAGTGTTATGGAATCTTATGTGAGGGACAATCATTCAGACTCTCGTAGCAGTGTTCTGGAATTCTGTGTGAGGGTAAAACATTCAGAACCTCATAGCAATTTTCTGAAATCCTATGTGAGGGACAAACATTCAGAACACAGCAGGAGTGTTCTCAAATCCTCTGTGAGGGAAAATCATTCCGACCCTCATAGCAGTGTTCTGGAATCCTGTGTGAGGGACAAACATTCAGACCCCAACAACAGTGTTCTGTAATCCTATGTGTTGGAGAATCATTCAGAACCCCATAGCAGTGCTCTGGAATTCTGTGTGAGGGACAAGTATTCAAGCTGTCATTGCAGTGTTCTGGAATCCCGTGTGAGGGACAAACATTCAGACACTGGTAGCAGTGTTCTGGAATCCAACGTGAGGGACAAACATTCAGACAACAGCAGGATTGTTCTGGAATCCTATGTGAGGGACAAGCATTCAGACAATCGTAGCAGTGTTCTGGAATCCCATGTGAGGGACAAACATTCAGACCTTCATAGCAGTGTTCTGGAATGGTATGTGATGGACAAACATTCAGACAATCATAGCATTGTTCTGGAATCCTATGTGAGGGACAAGCATTCAGACAATCGTAGCAGTGTTCTGTAATCCCCTGTGAGGAACAAACGTTCAGACAGTCGTAGCATTGTTCTGGAATATTATGTGAGGGACAAACATTCAGACAATTGTAGCAGTGTTCCGGAATCCTATGTGAGGGACAAACATTCAAACAACAGCGGGATTGTTCAGGAATCCTATGTTATGGACAAACATTCTGACCCTCGTAGCGGTGTTCTGGAATTCTATGTGAGGGAGAAACACTCAGAACCCAACATCAGTGTTCTGGAATCCTATGCGACGGACATACCTGTAGACCCCAGCAGCTCTATTCTAGAATCCTATGTGAGAGACAAACATTACGACCCCAGCAACAGTGTTCTGGAATCCTATGTGAAGGAAAGTCATTCAGACACTCGTACCAGTGTTCTGGAATTCTGTGTGAGGGACAAACATTCTGATGCCCGTAGCAGTGTTCTGTAGTCCTGTGTGAGGGAAAAACATTGAGACCACAGCAGGAGTGTTCCAGAATCCCCTGTGAGGAACAGACATTCAGACCCTCATAGGAGGGTTCTGGAATCCGGTGTGACGGACAAAAATCTAGACCCCAGCAGCAGTGTTCTGGAATCCTATGTGAGGGACAAACACTCAGAACCCTGCAGCAGTGTTCTGAAACCCTATGTGAGAGATAAATATTCCGACGACAGGAGGATAGTTTTGGAATCCTATGTGAGGGACAAACACTCAGAAAACAGCAGGAGTGTTCTGGAATCCTAAATGAGGGACAAACACTCAGAAAACAGCAGGAGTGTTCTGGAATCCTAAATGAGGGACAATCTTTCAGATCGTCATAGCAGTGTTCTACAATTTTGTGTGAGGGACAAACATTCACACCCCAGCAGAAGTGTTGTGGAATCCTAAATGAGGGACAAACATTCAAACCCTCATAGGAGTGCTCTGGAATAGTGTGTGACGGAGAAACTTTTAGACTCCAGCAGCAGTGTTCTGCAATCCTTTGTAAGGGAAAAACAATCAGACCCTCACAGCTGTGTTCTGGAATCCCATGTGATGGACAAACACTCAGAACCGAGCAGCAGTGTTCTGTAACTATATGTGAGGGGCAACCATTCAGAACACAGCAGGATTGTTCTGGAATCCTACATGAAGGACTGACACTCAGAGCACAGCAGGCGTGTTTTGGAATCCTATGTGAGGGACAAACATTCTGACACTCATAGCAGGGTTCTGGAATCCTACGTGAGTGACAAACATTCAGACAATCTTAGCAGTGTTCTGGAATACTATGTGAGGGACAAACATTCAGACACTCGTAACAGTGTTTTGGAATACTATGTTGCAGACAATCATTCGTATGCTCGTAGCAGTGTTCTGGAATCCTGTGTGAAGGACAAACATTCAGACCACAGCAGGATTGTTCTGGAATCCCCAGTGAGGAACAAACGTTCAGACCTTCATAGCAGTGTTCTGGAATTCTATGTGACGGACAAACATTTAGACCCCAGCAGCGGTGTTCTGAAATCCTATGTTAGTGACAAACATTCAGACCCTTGTAGGAATGTTCTGGAATCTATGTGAGGGACTTGCTTTAAGACCACAGCAGGAGTGTTCTGGAATCTCATGTGAGGTACAAGCATTTCCACTCTCATAGCTGTGTTCTGGAATCCTATGTGATGAACAAACATTTAGACCCCAGCAGCAGTGTTCTGGAATCCTACGTGAGGGAAAAACATACAGACCATCATAGCAGTGTATTGGAATCCTGTGGGAGGGACAAACATTCAGACAATCGAAGCAGTGTTCTGGAATCCTAAGAGAGAGACAAATATTCAGAACACAGAAGGATTGTTCTGGAATCCTATGTGAGGAGCAAACACTCAGAACACAGCAGGAGTGTTGTGGAATCCTATGTGAGGGACAAACTTTGAGACCCTCGTAGTAGTGTCCTGGAATCCTATGTGAGGGACAAACATGCAGACAATTGTAGCAGTGTTCTGGAATCCTATGTGATCGACAAACCTTCGAACAACAGTGGAAGTGTTCTGGAATCCTATGTTATGGACACACATTCAGAACCTTGTGGCAGTGTTCTGGAATTCTATTTGAGAGAGAAACATTCAGAGCCCAGCAGCAGTTTTCTGGAATCCTATGTGATGAACATACATGCAGACCACAGCAGCAGTGTTCTGGAATCTTATGTGAGGGACAAACATTCAGACAATTGTAGCAGTGTTCTGGAGTCCTCCGTGAAGGACAAACATTCGGAACCCAGCAGCAGTGTTCTGGAATCCAATGTGAGGGACAAACATATAAATCACGGGGGGGGAGTTTTCTGGAATCCTATGTTACGGACAAACATTCAGAACCTCGTCGCAGTGTTCTGGAATTCTATGTCAGGGAGAAACAGCCAGAACACAGTAGCAGGGTTTTGGAATCCTATGTGACGGACACACATATAGACCCCAGCAGCAGTGTTCTGGGATCCTATGTGAGAGACAAACATTCAGCACCTCGTCACAGTGTTCTCGAATCCTATGTGAGGGACAATCATTCAGATCCTCGTAGCAGTGTTCTGGAATTCTGTATGAGATACAATCATTCAGACCCTCGTAGCAGTGTTCTGGAATCCTAAGTGTGGGACAAATATTCAGACAATAGTAGTAGTGTCCTGGAAATCTATGTGAGGGACACACATTCAGACCCTCTTAGGAGTGGTCTGGAATCTTATATGAGAGACAAACATTCAGACAATCGTAGCAGTGTTCTGGAATCCTCGGTGAGGGACAAACATTCGGAACCCAGCAGCAGTGTTCTGGAATCCAATGTTATGGACAAACATTCAGAGACTCCTCGCGGTGATCTGGAATTCTATGTGATGGAGAAACACTGAGAAACCAGCAGTATTGTTCTGGAATCTGATGTGACGGACATACATTTAGACCAGAGCAGTAGAGTTGTGGAATCCTATATTGGGGCAAACATTCAGTCCCCAGCAGCATTGTCCTGCAATCCTTTGTGAGGGACAAACATTCAGAACCCAGCAGCAGTGTTCTGGAATCCTATGTGAGGCACCATCATTCAGACCCTCGAAGCAGTGTTCTGGAATTTTGTGTGAGGGGCAAACATTCAGACCCTCGTAGCAGTGTTCTGCAATCCTGTGTGAGGTACTATTATTCAGATGATGGCAGGAGAGTTCTGGAATCCCCTGTGAGGAACAAACATTCAGCCCCTCCTAGCAGTGTTCTGTAACCCTATTTGAGGGACAGATATTCAGACGACAGCAGGGTTGTTCTGGAACCCTATGTGGGGGACAATCACCCAGAACACATCAGTAGTGTTTTGGAATCCTATCTGAGGGACAAACATTCAGACCCTAGTAGCACTGTTCAGGAATCCTATGTGAGGGACAAACATTCAGACAATCGTAGCATTGTTCTGGAGTCTTATGTGAGGGACAAACATTCAGACCCCAGCAGCATTGTTCTGGAATCCTATGTGGGGTTCAAACATTCAAACAACAGCGGGATTGTTCTGGAATCCTATGTTACGGACAAACATTCAGACCATCGTAGCAGTGTTCTGGTATTCTATGTGAGGGAAAAACACTGAGAATACAGCAGCAGTGTTCTGGAATCCGATGTGTGGGACAAACATTCAGACCCCAGCAGCAGTGTTCTTTAATCCTATTTGAGGGACAATCATTCAGACTCTCATAGCTGTGTTCTGGAGTTCTGCATAAGGGACAATCGTTCAGACCCACGTAGCAGTGTTCCGGAATTCTGTGTGATGGAGAAACCTTAATTACTTCATAGCAGTGTTATGGAAGCCTATCTGTGGGACAAACATTCAGACCACAGCAGGAGTGTTCTGGAACACTAAGTGTTCTCAAATCCTATGTGAGGAACAAACATTCAGACCCTCGCAGCAATGTTCTGGAATCCTATGTGACGGACAAACATTTGGACTGCAGCAGCAATGTTCTGGAATCCTATGTGAGGGACAAACTTTCAGAAAATCGTTGCAGTGGTCTGGTATCCTAGGTGAGGGACAAACATTCAGAACCCAGCAGCAGTGTTCTGGAATCCAATGTGAGGGACAAACATTCAAACAACAGAGGGAGTGTTTTGCAATCCTAGGTAAAGGACAAATATTTAGACAACAGGAGCAGTGTTCTGGAATCCTGTGGGAAGGACAAACATTAGGACCCTCAGTATAGTGTTCTAGAATCTTATGTGAGAGAAAAACATTGAGACAATCATAGCAGTGTTCTAGAATCCTTTGTGACGGACAAATATTTAGACCCCAGCAGCATTGTTCTGGAATCCTATGTGAGGGACGAACATTAAAATCACAGCGGGAATGTTCTGGAATCCTTTGTTACGGGCAAACATTCAGATCCTCGTCGCAGTCTTCTTGAATTACATGTGAGGGAGAAACACTCAGAACCCACCAGCAGTGTTCTGGAATCCTTAGCGACAGACATACATGCAGACATCAGTAGCAGTGCTCTGGGATCCTATGTGAGGGACAAACTTTCAGACGGCAGCAGCAGTGTTCTGGAATCCTGTGTGAGGGACAATCACTCAGACCCTCGTAGCTGTGTTCTGGAATTCCGTGTGATGGACAAACATTCAGACCCTCATAGCAGTGTTCTGGAAACCTATGTGAGGGACAAACATTCAGACCACAGCAGGCATGTTCTGGAATCCTCTGTGAGGAAGAAACATTCAGACCCTCGTAGCAGTGTTCTGGAATCCTATATGACAGACAAACATTTAGACCCCAGCAGCAGTGTTCTGGAATCCTGTGTGAGGGACAAACATTCACACCCTCGGAGCAGTGTTCTAGAATCCTATAAAGGGACAAACACTCAGAACCCAGCAGCCGTGTTCTGGAACCATATGTGAGGGACAAACACTGAGAACACAGCAGGATTGTTTTGGAATGCTATGTGATGGAGAAACATTCAGGCACTCGTAGCAGTGTTCTGGAATCCTAAGTGAGGGACAAACATTCAGACAATCGTAGCAGTGTTCTGGAATCCTATGCTAGGGAAAAACATTCAGACCCCAGTAGCAGTGTTCTGGAATCCTATGTGAGGGAAAAACATTCAAACAACAGCGGGAGTGTTCTGAAATAGTATGTTATTGACAAACATTCAGACCCTTGTCACAGTGCTCTGGAATTCAAGTGAGGGGGAAACACACAGAACCCAGCAGCTGTGTTCTGGAATCCTGTGTGACGGACATACACATAGACCCCAGCAGCGGTGTTCCGGAATCCTATGTGACGGACAAACATTCAGACTCCAGCAGCAGTGTTCTGGAATCCTCTGTGAGGGACCATCATTCAGACTCTCGTAGTAGTGTTCTGGAATTCTGCGTGAGGGGCAAACATTCAGACCATCGTGGCAGTGTACTGGAATCCTGTGTGAGGGATAGTCATTCCGAACACAGCAGGAGTATTCTGGAATCCCCTGTATGGAAAAAACATTCAGACCCTAGCAGCAGTGTTCTGGAATCCTATGTGAGGGACAAACATTTAGACCCCAGCAAAAGTGTTCTGGAATCCTGTGTGAGGGACAAACATTCAGACTTTCGTAGCAGAGTTCTGGAATCCTATCTGAGGGGCAAACACTCAGAAACCAGCACCAGTGTTCTGGAACCCGATGTGAGGGACAAACATTCAGACCACAGCAGGATTGCTTTGGGATCCCATGTGTGGGAAAAACAGAAAACAGCGGGAGAGTATTGGAATCCTATGTGAGGGACAAAACATTCAGACCCTCTTTGCAGTGCTGCGGAATCCTATGTGAGGGACAAACTTTCAGAAAATCACAGCAGTGGTCTGGAATCTTATGTGAGAGACAAACATTCAGAACTCAGCACCAATGTTCTGGAATCTTATGTGAGAGACAAACATTCAGAACTCAGCACCAATGTTCTGGAATCCTATGTGAGAGACAAACATTCATACAACAGCGAGAGTGTTCTGCAATCCTAGGTAATGGACAAACATTTAGAAACCAGCAGCAGTGTTGTGGAATCCTATGAGAGGCACAAACATTCAGACCTTAGTAGAGTTATTCTGGAATCCCATGTGAGGGACAAACATTCAGAACCTCGTCGCAGTTTTCTGGAATTCTGTGTGAGGCAGAAACACTCTGAACCCAGAAGCAGTGTTCTGGAATCCTCTATGACAGACACACATGTAGACCTCAGCAGCTGTGTTCGGGAATCCTATGTGAGGGACAAGCATTCAGACCGCAACAGCATTATTGTGGAATCCCAAGTCAGGGACAATCATTCAGACCCTCGTAAGAGTGTTCTGGAATTTTGTGTGAGAGACAAACATTCAGACACTCATAGCAGTGTTCTGGAAAGCTATGTGAGGGAGAAACATTCAGACAACAGTAGGCGTGTTCTGGAATCCCCTGTGAGGAAAAACATTCATACCCTCGTAGCAGTGTTCTGGAATCCTATGTGATGGACAAACATTTAGACCCCATCAGCAGTGTTCTGGAATCCCGTGTGAGCAAAAAACATTCAGACGCTAGAAGCAGTGTTCCGGAGTCCTATGTAGGAACAAACACTCAGAACCCAGCAGCACTGTTCTGGAACGCTATGTGAGGGACAAAGATTCAGACCACAGCAGGATTATACTGGAGTCCTATGTGAGGGACAAACACTCAGAACAGAGCAGGAGTGTTTTGGAATCCTATGTGTCAGACAAACATTCAGACACTCATAGCAGTGTTCTGGAATCCAATGCAAGAGACAAACTTTCAGACCACAGCAGCAGTGTTGTGGAATCCTCTGTGAGGAACAAACTTTCAGAATATCGTAGCAGTGTTCTGGAATCCTATGTGAGGGACAAACATTGAGATCCCAGCAGCAGTGTGCTGGAATCCTATGTGAAGGACAAACATTCAAACAACAGCGAGAGTGTTCTGGAATCCTAACAAGTAGACAAACATTTAGACACCAGCAGCAGTGTTCTGGAATCCTATGTGAGGAAAAACATATTCAGACCCTCGTAGGGTTATTCTGGAATCCTATATGAGGAACATATATTCAGACCCTCATAGGATTATTCTGGAATCCTATGTGATTCAGACACCAGGAGCAGTGTTCTGGAATCCTATGTGTGAGACAAACATTCAAACAACAGTGTGAGTGTTCACGAATCCTATGTGACGGACAAACATTCAGACCTTCCTCGCAGTGTTTGGAATTCTATGTGAGGGAGAAACACTCAGAACCCAGCAGGAGTGCTCTGGAATCCTATCTGACGGACATACATGTAGACCCCAGCAGCAGTGTCCTCGAATCTCATGTGAGGGAGAAACATTCAGACCCCAGGAGCAGTGTTCTGGAATCCTATGTGAGGACAATGATTCAGGACCTCGTAGCAGTGTTCTGGTATTCTGTGTGAGGTACAAACTTTCAGACTCTCTTACCACTGTTCTGCAATCATGTGTGAGAGAAAAACATTCAGACCCACAGCAGGAGTGTTCTGGAATCACCTGTGAGGAACAAACATTCAGATCCTCCTAGCACTGTTCTGGAATCCTGTGTGACGGACAAACATTTAGACGCCAGCAGCAGTGTTCTGGAATCCTAATTGCGGGACAATCATTCAGACCCTTGTAGCAGTGTTATGGAATCCTTTGTGAGGGACAGACATTTAGAACCCAGCGACAGCATTCTGGAACACTATGTGAGTGAGAAACATTCAGACCACAGCAGGATTGCTCTGGAATCCTATGTGAGGGACTAATATTCAGACCTTCGTAGCAGTGTTCTGGAATCCTAAGTGAGGGACAAACATTCAGACAACCGTAGCAGTGTTCCGGAATCCTATGTGAGGGACATTCATTCAGACGTTCGTAGCTGCGTTGTGGAATTCTGTGTAAGAGCCATATATTGAGATCCTCAAAGCCGTGTTCTGGAATCCTACGTGAGGGACAAACATTCAGACCACAGGAGGATTGTTCTGGAATCCTCTGTGAGGAAAAAACATTCAGACCCTCGTAGCAGTGTTCTGGAATCCTATGTGAGGGACGAACCTTTAGACCCCAGCAGCAGTGCTCTTGAATCCTACGTGAGGAAAAAACATTCAGACACTCGTAGCTTTGTTCTCGAATCACATGTGAGGGACAAACATTCAGATAATCTTAGCCATGTTCTGGAATCCTATGTGAGGGACAAATATTCAGACCCCAGCAGCGTTCTGGAATCCTATGTGAGGAACAAACATTCAAACAACAGCGGGAGTGTTGTCGAATCCTATGTAACAGACAGACTTTCAGAACCTCGTCGCAGTGTTCTGGAATTCTGTGTTAGAGAGAAACACTCAGAAACCAACAGGAGTGTTCTGGAATCCTATGTGATGGACATACATGTAGACGCCAGCAGCAGTGTTCTTGAATCATATGTGAAGACAAACATTCAGATCTCAAAAGCAGTGTTCTGGAATCCTCTGTGAGGGTCAATCATTCAGACCCTTGTAGCAGTGTTCTGGAGATGTTTGTGAGGGAGGAAGCTTCAGACCCCCATAGCAGCGTTCTGGAAGCCTATATGAAGGACAAACATTCGGACTAGAGCAGGATTGTTCTGGAATCCAATGGGAGGAACAAATATCCGGACCCTCGTAGCATAGTTCTGGAATCCTATGTGACGGACCAACATTTAGAGCCCAGCAGCAGTGCTCTGGAACCTCAAGTGAGGGACAAACATTCAGACACTCAGTGCAGTGTTCTATAATCCTATATGAGGGACAAACATTGAAACAATCGTAGTAGTGTTCAGGAACCTATGTGACGGACAAACATACAGACCCCAGCAGCAGTGTTTTCGAATCCTATGTGGGGGACAAACATTCAAACAACAGCAAGAGTGTTCTGGAATCCTCTGTTACAGAGAAACATTCAGATCCTCGTCGCAGTGTTCTGGAATTCTAACTGAGGGAGAAACACTCTGAACCCAGCAGCAGTGTTCTGGAACCCTATGTGACAGACATACATGTAGACCCCAGCAGCAGTGTTCTGGAATCCTATGTGAGGGACAAATATTCAGACAGCAGCCGTAGTATTCTGGAATCCTATGTGAAGGATAGTCATTCAGACCCTCATAGCAGTGTTCTGGAATTCTCTGTGTGGGACAAACATTCAGACCCTCATAGCAGTGTTCTGGAATCCCCGGTGAGGAACAAACATTCAGAGCCTCATATCAGTGTTCTGGAATCCTATGTGACGGACAAACATTAAGTCCCCAGAAGCAGTTTTCTGGAATACTGTGTGAGGAACAAACATTCAGACCCTGGTAGTAGTGTTCTGGAATCCTATGTGAGAGACAAACACTCAGAACCCAACAGCAGTGTTTTGGAACCCTATGTGAGGGTCAATCATTCAGGCCACAGCAGGATTATGCTGGAGTCCTATGTGAGGGACACTCAGAACATAGCAGGAGTGTTTTGGAATCCTATGTGAGGGAAAAACTTTCAGACACTCGTAGCAGTGTTCTGGAATCCTATGTGGGAGACAAACATTCATACAATCTTAGCAGTGTACGGGAATTCTTTGCGAGGGACAAACATTCAGACCCCAGCAGCAGTGTTCCAGAATCCTATGTGAGCTATAAACATTGATACAACAGTGGGAGTGTTCTGGAATCCTATGTTATGGACAAACATTCAGACCCTCGTCACAGTGTTCTGGAATTCTATGTGAGGGAGAAACACTCAGAACCCAGCAACAGTGTACTGGAATCCTATGTGACGGACATACATGTAGACCCGAGCAGCAGTGTTCTGGAATACTATGTGAGGGACAAACATTCATAACACGGCAGGAGTGCCCTGGAATCCTATGTGAGGGAAAACATTCAGACAATCGTAGCAGTGTTTTGGAATCTTATGTGAGGGACTAACTTTCAGACCCCATCAGCAGTGTTCTGGAATCCTATATGAGGGACAAACATTCAAACTACAGAGGCTGTGTTCTGGAATCCTAAGTTATGGACAAAAATTCAGATCCTCTCCGCAGTGCTCTGGAATTCTATTTGAGGGAGAAACAATCAGAACCCAGCAGCAGTGTTCTCGAATCCTACATGAGGGACATACATTCAGACCACAGCAGCAGTGTTCTAGAACCCTATGTGAGGGACAAGCATTCAGACCGTCGTAGCAGTGTTCTCGAATTCTGTGTGAAGGACAAAGATTCAGACCATCAGAGCAGTGTTCTGGAATCCTTTGTGAGGGACAAACATTCAGACCACAGCAAGAGTCTTCTGGAATCCACTGTGAGGAACAAACATTCAGAACCTCATAGCAGTGTTCTGGAATCCTATGTGATGGACAAACATTTAGACCTCAGAAGCAGTGTTCTGTAATCCTGTGAGAGACAAACATTCAGACACTCGTTGCAGTGTACAGGAATCCTGTGTGAGGGAAAAGAACTCAGAACCCAGCAACAGTGTCCTGGAACCCTATGTGAGGGACAAACATTCAGGCCACAGCAGGATTGTTCTGGAATCCTACGTGAGGGACAAACACTCAAACACAGCGGGAGTGTTTTGGAATCCAATATGAGGGAGAAACATTCAGACCCTCATAGCAGTGTTCTGGAATCCTATGTGAGGGACAAACATTCAGAAAATCGTAGCCATGTTCTGGAATCTCAAGAAAGGGAAATAAATTCAGACCCCAGCAGCAGTGTTTTGTAATCCTATGTGAGGGAGAAACATTGAACCAAGATCGGGAGTGTTCTGCAATCCCTGGTTATGGACAAATATTCAGAACCTCGTCTCAGTGCTCTGGAATTCTATGTGAGGTAGAAACAGTGAGAACCCAGCAGCAGTATTCTGGAATCCTATGTGAGGGAAAATCATTCAGACCCCAGCAGGAGTGTTCTGGAATCCTATGGGAGGGACAATCATTCAGACAATCGTAGCAGTGTTCTGGAATCCTATGTGAGGGGCAAACATACAGACACTTGTAGCAGTGTTCTGGAATCCTATGTAAGTGACAAATATTCAGACCCTTGTAGCATTTTTCTGGAATCCTATGTGAGGGACAAACATTGAGACAATCGTAGCTGTGTTCTCGAATCCTATGTGAGGGAGAAACATTCAGACTACAACAGGAGTGTTCTGGAATCGTATGTGAGGGACAAACATTCCAACAACAGAGTGAGTGTTCTGGAATCCTAAGTTACGGACATACATTCAGAAATTCGTCTCAGTGACCTGGAATTCTATGTGAGGGTGAAACACTCAGAAACCGGCAGCAATGTTCTTAAATCCTATGTGACAGACATACATGTAGACGGTAACAGCAGTGTCCTGTAATTCTGTGTGATGGAAAAACATTCAGACACTCATAGCAGTGTTCTGGAATCCTATTTGAGGGACAAACATTCAGACCACAGCTGGAGTGTTCTGCAATCCCCTGTGAGTAACAAATATTCAGATCCTAGTAGCAGTGTTCTGGAATCCTATGAGGGACAAACATTCGGATCCTCTTAGCAGTGATCTGGAATCCTATGTGAGGGTAAATCATTCAGAACCTAGTTGCGGTGTTCTGGAATCCTATATGAGGGACAAACATTCGGATCCTCTTAGCAGTGTTCTGGAATCCTATGTAACGGACAAACATTAAGACCCCAACTGCAACTGCAGTGTTCTGGAATCCCATGTGAGGGACAAGCATTCAGACCCTTGTAGCAGTGTTCTGGATTCCTATGTGAGGGAGAAACACTCAAAACCCAGCAACAGTGTTCTGGAACCCTATGTGAGGGACAAACATTCACACCACAGCAGGATTGTTCTGGAATACTATGTGAGGGACAAACACTCAGAACATAGCAGGAGTGTTTTGGAATCGTATGTGAGGGACAAACATTCGGATCCTCTTAGCAGTGTTCTGGAATCCTATGTGACGGACATACATGTAGAACCCAGCAGCAGTGTTCTGAAGGCCTATGTGAGGGACAAACATTCAGACCCCAGGAACAGTCTTCGGGAATCGTATGTGAGGGTAAATCATTCAGAACGTCGTAGCAGTGTTCTGGAATTCTGTGTGAGGGACAAACATTCAGACCACAGCAGCAGTATTCTGGAATCCTATGTGAGGGAAAAACATTCAAACAACTGCAGGTGTGTTCTGGAATCCTATGTGAGGGAAAAACATTCAAACAACTGCAGGTGTGTTCTGGAATCCTATGACAAGGAAAAACATTCAGACCCTCCTCGCAGTGTTCTTGAATTCTATGTGAGGGAGAAACACTCCGATTCCTGTAGCAGTGTTCTGGAACCCTATGTGACAGACCTACTTGTAGACTCCAGCAGCAGTGTTCTGGAACCCTATGTGAGGGACAATCATTCCGACCCTCGTGGCAGTGTTCTGGAATTTTGTGTGAGGGATAAACATTCAGACCCCAGCGCGAGTGTTCTGGAATCCCACGTGAGTGACAAGCATTCAAAAAATCTTAGCAGTGTTCTGGAATCCTATATGAGAGACAAACTTTCAGACCCTCGTAGCAGTATTCTGGAATCCTATGTGGGGGCAAACATTCAATCATAGCAGTGTTCAGGAATCCTATGTGAGGGACAAACATTTAGACTGTCGTAGCAGTGTTCTGGAATCCTACGTGAGGGACAAGCATTGAGACAATCGTGGCAGTGTTCTGGGATCCTATGTGAGGGACAAACATTCAGACAATTGTAGCAGGGTTCTGGAATCCTATGTGAGGGACAAACATTCAAAAAACAGAGAGAGTGTTCTGGAACCCTATGTTACGGACAAACATTCAGACAATCGTAGCAGGGTTCTGGAATCCTATGTGAGGGACAAACATTCAAAAAACAGAGAGATTGTTCTGGAACCCTATGTTACAGACAAACATTGAGACCATCGTTGCAGTGTTCTGGAATTCCCTGTGAGGGACAAAAACTCGGAACCCAGCGGCAGTGTTCTGGAATTCCCTGTGAGGGACAAAAACTCGGAACCCAGCGGCAGTGTTCTGGAATCCTATGTGAGGGACAAACATTCAGACTCCAGCAGCAGTGTTCTGGAATCCCATGTGAGGGACAATCATTCAGACCATCATAGCCGTGTTTTGGAATTCTGTGTGAGGGGCAAACATTCAGACCGTCGTAACAGTGTTCTGCAATCCTGTGTGAGGGAAAAACATTCCGACCACAGCAAGAGTGTTCTGGAATCCCCTGTGAGGAACAAACATTCCGACCCTCATAGCAGTGTACTGGAATCTTATCTGATGGACAAATATTTAGAACCCAGCAGCAGTGTTCTGGAATCCTATGTGAGTGACAAACACTCAAAACATAGCAGGAGTGTTTTAGAATACTATGTGAGGGATAAACAATCTGACCTTCACAACAGTGTTCTGGAATCCTGAGTGAGGGATAAACATTCAGACCCTGATAGCAGTGTTCTGGAATCCTATGTGAGGGACAAACATTCAGACCACAGCAGGACTGTTTTGGAATTCCCTTTGAGAAACAAACTTTTAGACCCTCATAGCTGTGTTCTGCAATCCTGTGTGTGGGACAAAATTTCAAAACCTCGTAGCAGTGTTCTGGAATCCTATGTGAGGTACAAACATTCAGACAATCGTAGCAGTGTTCTGGAATCCCATGTGAGGGACAAACATGCAGACCCTCGTAAGAGTGTTCTGGAATCCTATGTGAGAGACAAACATTCAGACAATCGTAGCAGTGTTCTGGAATCCAATGTTAGTGACAAAGTTTCAGACCCCAGCAGCAGTGTTCTGGAATCCTATTTGAGGGACAACCATTCAGACACTTTCAGCAGTGTTCCAGAATCCTGTGTCAGGGACAAACATTTTGACCACTGCAGGACTCTTCTGGAATCCCTTGTGGGGAACAAACATTCAGACCCTCGTAGGTGTGTTCTGTAATCCTATGTGACTGACACACATTTAGACCACAGCAGCAGTGTTCTGGAATCCCATGTGAGGGACAAACATTCAGACACTCGTAGCAATGTTCTGGAGTCCTGTGTGAGGGACAAAAATTCAGGCCACAACAAGAGTGTATTGGAATCCCCTGTGAGGAACAAACATTTTGAACCTCCTAGCAGTGTCTGGAATATTATCTGACGGACAAACATTTAGACCCCAGCAGCAGTATTATAGAATCTCATGTGAGGGACAATATTTCAGAACGTCATAGCAGTGTTCTGGAATATTATATGAGTGAAAAATATTCAAACATCCTCGGGAGTGTTCTGGAATCTTATGTCACGGACAAGCATTCAGACCCTCGTCGCAGTGTTCTGGAATTCTATGTGAGGGAGAAACACTCAGAACCCAGCAGCAGTGTTCTGGAATCCTATGTGAAGGACATACATGTAGACCATAGCAGCAGTGCTCTGGAATCCTTTGTGACAGACAAACATTCAGACCCCAGCAGCAGTGTTCTGGAATCCTGTGTGAGGGACAAACATTCAGACCCCAGCTGCAGTGTTCTGGTATCCTATGTGATGGACAGTCATAAAGACCCTCGTAGCAGTGTTCTGGAATTCTTTGTGAGGGACAAACATTCAGACATTCATAGCAGTGATGTGGAATCCCATGTGAGTGACAAACATTCAGACCACAGCAGAAGTGTTCTGGAATCCCCTGTGAGGAACAAACATTCAGACTCTCGTAGTAGTGTTCTGGAATCCTATTTGAAGGACAAACATTTAGGCCCCAGCAGCAGGGTCCTTGAATCCTATGTGAGGGACAAATATTCAGACCCTGGTAGCACTGTTCTGGCTTTCTTTCTGAGGGACAAACATTCAGTCCACAGCAGGAGTGTTCTGGAATCCTAAGTGAGGGACAAACATTCACACCCTCGTAGCAGTGTTCTGGAATCCTATGTGAGGGACAAACATTCAAATAAATACTTGAGTGTTTTTGAATCCTATGTTACGGACAAACATTCAAACCCTCGTCGCAGTGTTCTGGAATTGTTTGTGAGTGAGAAACACTCAGAAACCAGCAGCAGTGTTCTGGAATCCTATGTTTCGGACATAAATGTAGACCCCAGCAGCAGTGTTCTGGAATCCTAAGTGAGGGACAAACATTCAGACCCTAGCAGCAGCATTCTGGAATCCTATTGAGGGACAAAAATTCTGACCCTCATCTCAGTGGTCTGGAATTCTAGGTGAGGAAGAAACTCAGACAATCGTAGCAGTGTTCTGGAATCCTATGTGAGGGGCAAACATTCAAACAACAGCGGGAGTGCTCTTGAATCATATGTTATGGACAAACACTCAGACCCTCGTAGCAGTGTTCTGGAATCCTATGAGAGGGACAAACATTCAGACCCTCCAGGTTTGTTCTGGAATCCTATGTGAGGGACAAATATTAAGAAAATCGTAACATTGTACTGGAATCCTGTGTGAGGGACAAACATTCAGTCCCCATTAGCAGTGTTCTGGATTCCTATGTGAGGGACAAACATTCCCACAACAGCGGGAGTGTTCTGTAATCCTATGTTACGGACAAACATTCAGACCCTCATCGCAGTGTTCTGGAATCCTATGTGAGGGAGAAACACTTAGAAACCAGCTGCAGTGTTCTGGAATCTTATGGGATGGACACACATGTAGACCCCAGCAGCATTGTTCTGGAATCCTGTGAGACGGACAAACATTCAGACCCCAGCAGCAGTGTTCTGGAATCCTAGAGTAGGGATAATCATTAAGATCCTGGCTGCAGTGTTCTGCAATTCTGTGTGAGGGACAAACATTCAGAGCCTCATAGGAGTGTTCTGGAATCCTATGTGATTGACAAACATTCAGACCACAGCAGGAGTGTTCTCGAATCCCCTGTGAGGAACAAATATTCAGACCCTCGTGGCAGTGTTCTGTAATCCTATGTGAGGGACCAACATTTAGACCACAGCAGCAGTGTTCTGGAATCCTATGTGAGGGACAAACATTCAAACAACAGCGGGAGTGTCCTTGAATCATATGTTACGGACAAACATTCAGACCCGCGTAGCAGTGTTCTGGAATCCTTTGAGAGGGACAAACATTCAAACAACTGCGGGAGTGTTCTGTAATCCTATGTTATGGACAAATATTAATATAATCGTAACATTGTTCTGGAATCCTGCGTGAGGGACAAACATTCAGTCCCCATTAGCAGTGTTCTGGATTCCTA
Organism: Homo sapiens; assembly: GCF_000001405.40. Lineage (NCBI taxonomy): Eukaryota > Metazoa > Chordata > Mammalia > Primates > Hominidae > Homo > Homo sapiens. Next base: position 360,855 of record NW_021160018.1, on the reverse strand, counting down.
TGTGAGGGACAAACATTCAAACAACTGTGGGAGTGTTCTGTAATCCTATGTTATGGACAAATATCAGACCCTTGTCGCAGTGTTCTGGAATTCTATGTGAGGGAGAAACATTTAGAAACCAGCAGCACTGTTCTGGAATCCTATGGGATGGACACACATGTAGACCCCAGCAGCATTATTCTGGAATCCTATGAGACAGACAAACATTCAGACCCTAGCAACAGTGTTCTGGAATCCTAGAATAGGGATAATCATTCAGACCCTGGTAGCAGTATTCTGGAATTCTGTGTGAGGAACAAACATTCAGAGCCTCATAGCAGTGTTCTGGAATCCTATGTGATTGACAAACATTCAGACAACAGCAGGAGTGTTCTGGAATCATCTGTGAGGAACAAACATTCAGACAACAGAAAGAGTGTTCTGGAATCATCTGTGAGGAACAAACATTCAGACCCTCTTAGCAGTGTTCTGTAATCCTATGTGAAATCATCCTATGTGACAGACAAACATTTAGACCCCAGCAGCAGTGTTCTGGAATCCTATGTGAGGTAGAAACATTCAGACCCTCATAGCAGTGTTCTGGAATCCTACATGAGCGACAAACACACTGAAACCAGCAGCAGTGTTCTGGAACCCTATGTGAGGGATAAACATTCAGACCATGCCAGGATTGTTCTGGAAACCTATGTGAGGGACCAACACTCCGAACCCAGCAGAAAGGTTTTGAAATCCTGTGTGAGGGACAAACGTTTAGACTCTCGTAGCAGTGTTCTGGAATCATATGTGAGGGACAAATATACAGACCATAGCAGGAGTGTTCTGGAATCCTATGTGAGGGACAAACATTCAGACCCTCATAGCAGTGATCTGGAATTCTATGTGAGGGACAAACATTCAGACATTGGTAGCATTGTTCTGGAATCCAATGTGAGGGACAAACATTCTGACCCTCATAGCAGTGTACCAGAATCCTGTGTTAGGAACGAACATTCAGACCACAGCATTAGTGTTCTGGAATCCCCTGTGAGGAACAAACATACAGACCCTCGTAGTAGTGTTCTGGAATCCTATGTGACGGCCAAATATTTATACCCCAGGAGCAGTGTTCTGGAATCCTCAGTGAGGAAAACCATTCAGAATCTTGTAGCAGTTTTGTGGAATCCTATGTGAGGGACAAACATTCAGACCACAGCGGGATTGTTCTGGAATGATATGTGAGGGACAAACACTAAGAAAATAACAGGAATGTTTTGGAATCCTATGTGAGTGACAAAAATTCAGACCCTCGTAGTAGTGTTCTGGAATCGTATGTGAGGGACAAGCATTCAGACCACAGCAGGAGTGTTCTGGAATCCTATGGGAGGGACATACATTCAAACCCTAGTTAGCAGTGTTCTGGAATCCTATGTGAGGGAAAAGCATTCAGAGTTTTGTAGCAGTGTTCTGGAATCCTATGTGAGGGACAAACATTCAGACCCTCAAAGGAGTATTCTGGAATCCTATGTGAGGGACAAACATTGAGATAATCATAGCAGTGTGCTGGAATCCTATGTGAGGGACAAACATTCAGACCCCAGCAGCAGTGTTCTGGAATCCTATGTGAGTGATAAACATTCAAACAACAGCGGGAGTGTTCCATAATCCTATGTTACAGACAAATATTCACACCGTCTTCACAGTGTTCTTGAATCCTATGTGAGGGACAAACACTCAGAAATGAGCAGCAGTGTTCTGGAACCCTGTGTGAGGGTCAAAATTTCAGACCACAGCAGGATTGTTCTGTAATCCTATGTTACGGACAAACATTTAGACCTCAGCAGGAGTGTTCTGGAATTCTATGCGAGGCACAGTCATTCGTACCCTCGTAACAGTGTTCTGGAATTCTGTGTGAGGGACAAGCATTCAGAACGTCGTAGCAGTGTTCTGGAATCCTATGTGAGGGACAAACATTCAGACCCTCAAAGGAGTATTCTGGAATCCTATGTGAGGGACAAACATTGAGATAATCATAGCAGTGTGCTGGAATCCTATGTGAGGGACAAACATTCAGACCCCAGCAGCAGTGTTCTGGAATCCTATGTGAGTGATAAACATTCAAACAACAGCGGGAGTGTTCCATAATCCTATGTTACAGACAAATATTCACACCGTCTTCACAGTGTTCTTGAATCCTATGTGAGGGACAAACACTCAGAAATGAGCAGCAGTGTTCTGGAACCCTGTGTGAGGGTCAAAATTTCAGACCACAGCAGGATTGTTCTGTAATCCTATGTTACGGACAAACATTTAGACCTCAGCAGGAGTGTTCTGGAATTCTATGCGAGGCACAGTCATTCGTACCCTCGTAACAGTGTTCTGGAATTCTGTGTGAGGGACAAGCATTCAGAACGTCGTAGCAGTGTTCTGGAATCCTATGTGAAGGACAACCATTCAGACCACAGGAAGAGTGCTCTGGAATCCCCAGTGAGGAACAAACATTCAGACACTAGTAAAAGTGTTCTGGAATCCTATGTGACAGACAAACATTCAGACCCCAGCAGCAGTGTTCTGGAGTTTTATGTGAGGGAAAAACGTTCAGACAATCATAGCAGAATTCTGGAATCCTATGTGAGGGACAAACATTCAGACCTCAGCTGCTGCGTTCTGGAATCCTATGTGAGGGACAAACATTCATACAACAGTGGGAGTGTTCTGGAATCCTATGTTACAGGCAAATATTCAGACCCTCGTCCGAGTGTTCTGGAATTCTATGTGAGGGAGAAACATTCAGAACCCACCAGCATTGTTCTGGAATCCTATGTGACGGACAGACATGCAGACCCCAGCAGCATTGTTCTGGAATCCTATGTGACGGTCAGACATGTAGACCCCAGCAGCATTGTTCTGGACTCCTATGTGAGGGATGATCATTCAGACCCTCGTTGCAGTGTTTTGGAATTCTGTGTGAGTGAGAAACATTCAGACCCTTGTAGAAGTGTTCTGGAGCCCTGTGTGAGGGACAAACATTCAGACCACAGCAGGAGTGTTCTGGAATCCACCGTGAGGAACAAACATTCCGACCCTCGTAGCAGTGTTCTGGAATCCTAAGTGATGGATAAACATTTAGACCCAGTAGCAGTGTTCTGGAATCCCCAGTGAGGAACAAACATTCAGACAATCGTAGCAGTTTTCTGGTATTCTATGTGAGGGACAAACATTCAGACCCCAGCAGCAGTGTTCTGGAATCCTATGTGTGGGACATACATTCAGACCCTCGTAGGAATGTTCTGGAATCCTTTGTGAGGGACATGTATTAAGATAATCATAGCAGTGTTCCAGAATCCTATGTGAGGGACAAACATTCAGACCCCAGGAGCAGTGTTCTGGAATCCTATGTGAGGGAGAAACATTCAACCAACAGCGGGAGTGTTCTGAAATCCTATGTTAAGGACAAACATTCAGACCCTAGTTGCAGTGTTCTAGAATTCTATGTGAGGGAGAAACACTCAGAAACCTGCAGCAGTGTTCTGGAATCTAGGTGACGCCCATAAATCTACACCCCAGCAGCAGTGTGGTGGAATCCTATATGATGGACAAACATCCAGAACCCAGCAGCAGTGTTCTGGAATCCTATGTGAGGTACAAACATTCAGACCCCAGCAGCAGTGTTCTGGAATCCTATGAGAGGGACAATCATTCAGACCCTTGTAGCAGTATTGTGGAATTCTGTGTGAGGGATAAACATCCAGAAACTCATAGCAGTGTTCTGGAATGCTCTGTGAGGTACAAACATTCAGACCCTCGTAGCAGTGTTCTGGAATACTACGTGAGGGACAAACATTGAGACCTCATAGCAGTGTTCTGGAATCCTATGTGACAGACAAACATTTAGATGGCAGCAGCAGTGTTCTGGAATCCTATGTGAGGTACAAACATTCAGAACACTGCAGAAGTGTTCTGGAATCTCCTGTGAGGAAGAAACTTTTAGACCCTCATAAAAGTGGTCTGGATTCCGATGTGATGGACAAACATTTAGACCCCAGCAGCAGTGTTCTGGAATCCTATGTGAGAGACAAACATTCAGAACCTCGTAGCAGTGTTCTGGAATCCTATGTGAGGGACAAACCCTCAGAACTCAGCAACTGTATTCTGGAATCCTATGGAGGGACAAACACTGAGACCACAGCAAGATTGTTCTGAAATCCTATGTGGGGGACAAACACTTCGAACACTGCAGGAGTGTTTTGGAATCCTATGTGAGGGACAAACATTCAGAGCCTCGTAGCAGTGTTCTGGAATCCTATGTGAGGGAAAAACTATCAGACCACAGCAGGAGTGTTCAGGAATCCTATGTGAGGGACTAACATTTAGATAATCAAAGCCGTGTTCTGGAATCCTATGTGAGAGGCAAACATTCATACACTCATAGCAGTGTTCTGCAATCCTATGTGAGGGACAAATATTCAGATCATCCTAGCAGTGTTCTGGAATCCTATGTGAGGGACAAATATTCAGATCATCCTAGCATTGTTCTGGAATCCTATGTGAGGGACAAAAATGCAGACAGTCGTAGCAGTGTTCTGGAATCCTATGTGAGGGACAAAAATGCAGACAATCGTAGCAGTGTTCTGTAATCCTATGGGAGGGACAAAAATTCAGAGCCTCCCAGCAGTGTTCTGGAATCCTATGTGAGGGTCAGACATTCAGACAATCGTAGAGTGTTCTGGAATCCTATGGGAGGGATAAACATTCAAAAAACAGCGAGAGCGTCTGACATCCTACGTTTCGGACAAACATGCATACCCTCGTCGCAGTGTTCTGGAATTTATGTGAGGGAGAGACACACAGAACCCAGCAGCAGTGTTCTGGATTCCTATGTGACGGACATACATGTAGACCCCAGCAGCAGCGTTCTGGAATCCTATGTGAGGGAAAAACATTCAGGCACCAGCAGCAGAGTTCTGGAATCCTATATGAAGGACAATCATTCAGACCCTCGTAACAGTGTTCTGGAATTCTGTGTGAGGGACAAACATTCAGACCACAGCAGGACTATTCTGGAATCCCCAGTGAGGAAGAAACATTCAGACCCTCGTAGCACTGTTCTTGAATCCTGTGTGATGGACAAACATTTAGACCCCAGCAGCGGTGTTCTGGAATCCTATGTGTGGGACCGTCATTCAGAACCTCGTAGCGTGTTCTGGAATCTGGTGTGATGCAGAAACATTCAGATCACAACAGTAGTGTTCTGGATCTGATGTGTCTACAAACACTCAGAACACAGCAGGAGTGTTTTGGAATCCTATATGAGGGAAAAACATTCAGACCCTCGTAGCAGTGTTCTGGAATCCTATCTAAGGGACAAACATTCAGACAATCATAGGAGTGTTCTGGAATCCGATGTGAGGGACAAACATTCAGACTCTTGTATCAGTGTTCTGAAATCCTACGTGAAAGACAAACATTCAAACAATCGCAGCAGTGTTCTGGAATCCTATGTGAGGGACAAATATTCAGACCCTCGTAGCAGTGTACTGGAATCCTATGTGAGGGACAAACTTTCAGACCAGAGCAGCAGTGTCCTTGAATCCTGTGTGAGGGACAAATATTGAGATCCCAGCAGGAGTGTTCTGGAATCTTTTGTTAATGAGAAACATTCAGACTACAGCAGGAGTGTTCTGGAATCCTATGGGAGCAACAAACATTCAGACCCCAGCACCAGTGTTCTTTTGTCCTATGTGAGAAACAAAAATTCAGATGCTCGCAGCAGTGTTCTGAAATCCTATGTGAGGGAAAAACATTCAGAACCTCGTAGCAGTGTTTTGGAATCCTATGGGAGGACAAAAAATCAGACACTCCTACTAGTGCTCTGGAAACCTATGTGAGGGACAAACATTCAGACCACAGCAGGAGTGTTCTGGAATCGCCTGTGAGGGAGAAACATTCAGACCCTCATAGCTGTGTTCTGGAATCCAATGTGACGGACAAAGATTTAGACCCCAGCAGCAGTGTTCTGGAATCCTATGTGATGGACAGACATTCAGACAATCGTAGCAGTGTTCTGGAATCCTATGTGAGGGACAAACATTCAGAACCCAGCAGCAGTGTTCTGGAATCCTATGTGAGGAACAAACATTCAAACAAACAACAGCGGGAGTGTTCGGGAATCTTATGTTACGGACAAACATTCAGACCATCATTGCAGTTTTCCGGAATTCTATGTGACGGAGAAAGACTCAGAACTCCGCAGCAGTGTTCTGGTATTCTATGCGATGGACATACATGCAGACCTCAGCAGCAGTGTTCTGGACTCGTATGTGAGGGACAAACATTCAGACCCCAGCAGCAGTCTTCTGAAATCCTACATGAGAGACAATCATTCAGCCCCTCGTTGCATTGTTCTGGAATTCTGTGTGAGGGAAAAACTTTCAGACAATCATGGCAGTGTTCCAGAATCCTACGTGAGGGTCAAACTTTCAGAACACAGAAGTAGTGATCTGGAATCCCCTGTGAGGAATAAACATTCAGAACCCTGTAGCAGTAACCTGGAATCCGATGTGACGGACAAACCTTTAGACCCCAGCAGCATTGATCTGGAATCCTATTTGAGGGACAATCATTCAGACCCTCTCAGCAGTATTCTGTCATCCTATGTGCGGGAGAAACATTCAGACCAGAGTGGGGGTGTTCTGTAATAATATGTGACAAACATTTCGATCCTCACAGAAGTGTTCTGGAATATTATATGAGGGACAAAGGTTCAGACAATTGTAGCAGTGTTCTGGAATCCTACGTGAGGGACAAACATTCAGAACCTAGAAGCAGTGTTCTAGAATCCTATATGAGGGACAAACGTTCAAACAACAGCGGGAGTGTTCTGGAGTCCTATGTTATGGACAAACATTCAGACCCTAGCAGAAGTGTTCTGGAATCCCATGTGACAGACAAACACTCAAACAAGAGCGGGAGTGGTCTGGAATCCTAAGTTAGGATCATACATTCAGACCCCCGTTGCAGTGTTCTGGAATTCTATGTGTGGGAGAAACACTCAGAACCAGCAGCAGTGTTCTGGCATCCAATGTGAGGGACACACGAGTAGACTGCAGCAGCAGTGTTCTGGAATCCTATGTGAGGGACAAACATTCAGACCCCAGCAGCAGTGTTCTGGAATACTATATGAGGCACATTCATTCAGACCCTCGTTGCAGTGATCTGGAATCCTATGTGAGGGACAAACAGAACACAGCAGGAGTGTTTTGGAATCCCCTGTGAGGAACAAATATTCAGACCCTCGTCGCAGTGTTCTGGAATCCGATGTGAGGGACCAACAATCAGACAATCGTAGAAGTGTTCTGAAATCCTATCTGAGGGACAAACATTCAGACCCTTGTAGCAGTGTTCTGGAATCCTATGTGAGGGAGAAACATTCAGACAACCGTAGAACTGTTCTGGAATGTGAGTGACAAATATTCAGTCCCCAGCAGCAGTGTTCTGGAATCTTATGTGAGGGAAAAACATTCAAAAAACAGCGGAAGTGTTCTGGAATCCTACGTTAGAAACATAAATTCCAAGTATAATAATAATAAACGAAATAATATAACATAAAAAGAAACATACATTCAGACCCTCGATGCAGTGTTCTGGAATCTATGTGAGGGAGAAACACTCAGAACCCGGCCTCAGTGTTCTGGAATCCGATGTGAAAGACATACACATAGACTCCTGCAGCAGTGTTCTGGAGTCCTATGTGGGGGACAAACATTAAGACCCCAGAAGCAGTGTTCTGGAATCCTACGTGAGGGACAGTCAATCAGACCCTCGTAGTAGTGTTCTGGAATTCTGTGTGAGGGACAAACATTCAGACCCTCCTTGCAGTTTTCTGGAATTCAATGTGAGGGACAAACTTTCAGACCACAGCAGGGGTGTTGTGGAATCCCCGGTGAGGAACAAACATTGAGACACTCGTAGCAGTGTTCAGGAATCCTATGTGATGGACAATCATTTAAACCCCAGCAGCAGTGTTCTGGAATCCTATGTGAGAGAGAAACATTCAGACACTCGTAGCAGTGTTCTGGAATCCTATGTGAGGGACAAACACTCAGAACCCAGCTGCAGTGTTCTGGAACACTATGTTAGGGACAAACATTCAGACCACAGCAGGATTGTTCTGGAATTCTATGTGAGGGACACACATTCAGAAAACAGCAGGAGTGTTTTGGAATCCAACTTGGAGGACAAATATTCAGACCCTCGTAGCAGTGTTCTGGAATCCTATGTGAGGAGCAAACATTCACATAATCGTAGCAGTGTTCTGGAATCCTATGTGAGGGACAAACATTCAGAACTTCATAACAGTGTTCTTAAATCCAATGTGAGGGACAAACATTCAGACTGTCGTAGCGGTGTTCTGGAATCCTATGTGAGAGACAAACCCTCAGAACACAGCAAGAGTGTTTTGGAATCCTATGTGAGAGACAAATATTCAGATCCTCATAGCAGTGTTCTGGAATCCTATGTTAGGGACAAACATTCAGACTATCGTAGCAGTGTTCTGGAATCCTATGTGAGGGACAAATATTAAGACTATCATAGCAGTGTTCTGGAATCCTATGGGAAGGACAATCATTCAGACCCTCGTACCACTGTTCTGTAATTCCGTGTGAGGGACAAAGCTTTAAACCAAAGAAGGAGTGTTCTGGAATCCCCTGTGAGGAACAAACATTCAGACCCTCGTATCAGGGTTCTGGAATCCTATTTGACAGAGAAACATATAGACCCCAGCAACAGAGTTCTGGGGTCCAATGTGAGAAAAAAACAATCAGACCCTCGTAGCAGTGTTCTGGAATCCTATGTGGGGGACAAACATTCAGAGAATCGTAGCAGTTTTCTGGAATGCAATGTGAGGGAAAAACATTCAGACCCCTGTTGCAGTGTTCTGGAAACCTATGTGAGGGACACACATTCAGACCACTGCATGATTGATCTGGAATCCTATGTGAAGGACAAACACTCAGAACACAGCAGGAGTGTTTTGGAATCCTATGTGAGGGACAAACATTCAGAACCTCTTAGCAGTGTTCTGGAAACCTATGTGAGGGACACACATTCAGACCACTGTATGATTGATCTGGAATCCTATGTGAAGGACAAACACTCAGAACACAGCAGGAGTGTTTTGGAATCCTATGTGAGGGACAAACATTCAGACCCTCTTAGCAGTGTTCTGGAATCCTATGCGAGGGACAAACATTGAAACAATAACTGGAGTGTTCTGAAATCCTATGTTATGGACAAACATTCAGATCCTCATTGCATTGTTATGGAATTCTATGTGAGGGAGAAACACTCAGAAACTAACAGCAGTTTTCTGGCATCCTATGTGACAGACAAACTTTTAGACCCCAGCAGCAGTGTTCTGGAATCCTACCTGAGGGACAAACTTTGAGACCCCAGCAACAGTGTTGTTGAATCCTATGTGAGGGACAAAAATTAAGACCCCGGTAGGAGTGTTCTGGAATCTTTTGTGAAAGACAAACATTCAGACACAGCAGGAGTGTTCTGGAATTGTATGTTAGCAACAAACATTCGCATTCTAGCAGCAGAGTTCTTTGGTCCTATGTGAGGCACAAACTTCCAGACGCTCGTAGCAGTTTTCTGGAATATTATGTGATGGAAAAACATTCAGAATCTCATAGCAGTGCTTTGGAATCCTATGTGAGCACAAACATTCGGACTCCAGCAGCAGTGTTCTGGAATCCTATTTGAGGCACAAACATTCAGACCCTCGTAGCAGTGTTCTGGAATGCTATGTGATGGAGATCCATTCATACTACAGCAGCAGAGTTCTGGAATCTTGTGTGAGGGACAGACATTCAGACCACAGCCGGAGTGCTATGGAATCCTATATTAGGGACAAACATTCAGACCCTTGTAACAGTTTTCTGAAACCCTATGTGAGAGAGAAACATTCGGACCTCAGCAGCAGCGTTCTAGAATCCTATATGAGGCACATTCATTCAGACCCTCGTTGCAGTGATCTGGAATCGTATGTGAGGGACAAACACTCAGAACACAGCAGGAGTGTTTTGGAATCCCCTGTGAGGAACAAACATTCAGACCCTCATAACAATGTTCTGGAATCCTATGCGAGGGACCTACATTCAGACAATCGTAGAAGTGTTCTGGAATCCTATGTGAGGGACAAACATTCAGACCCTGGTAGAAGTGTTCTGGAATCCTATGTGAGGGACAAACATTCAGAAAACCGTAGCAGTGTTCTGGAATCCTATGTGAGGGACAAACATTCAAACAACAGCGGGAGTGTTCTGGAATCCTATGTTAGGAACGTATATTCAAACCGTCGTTACAGTGTTCTGGAATTCTAAGTGAGGGACAAACACTCAGAACCCAGCTGCAGTCTTCTGGAACCCTGTTTGAGAGACCAACATTCAGACAATCGTAGAAGTGTTCTGGAATCCTATGTGAGGGACAGTCATTCAAACACTCGTAGCAGTGTTCTGGAATCCTATGTGAAGTACAAATACTCAGAACCCAGCAACAGTGTTCTGGAACCCTATGTGAGATACAAACATTCCGACCACAGCTGTATTCTTCTGGAATCCTAAGTGAGGGACAAAACTTCAGACATTCGTGGCGGTGTTCTGGAATCCTATATGAGGGACAAACATTCAGACAATCGTAGAAGGGTTCTGGAATTCTATGTGAGTGACAAATATTCAGAGCCCCGTAGCAGTGTTCTGGAATCCTATGTGAGGGACAAACATTCAGACCCCATCAGTAGTGTACTGGAATAACATGAGAGGGACAATCATTCAGACCCTCAGAGCAGTGTTCTGGAATTCTGTGTGATGGACATACATTAGGAACCTCGTAGCAGTGTTCTGGAATCCTGTCTGAGGGACAAACATTCAGACCACAGCAGGAGTGTTACGGAATCCCCTGTGAGGAGGAAACATTCAGACCCTCGTAGCAATGTTCTGGAATCCTACGTGATGGACAAACATTTAGACCATACCAGCAGTTTTCTGGAATCCTATGTGAGGTACAAACACTCAGAACCCAGCAGCAGTGTTCTGGAACCCTATGTGAGGGACAAACATTCAGACCACTGCAGGATTGTTCTGGAATCCTATGTTAGGGACAAACACTCAAAACACAGCAGGAGTGTTTTGGAATTCTATGTGAGAGACAAATTTTGAGACCCTCGTAGCAGTGTTCCAGAATCATATGTGAGGGAGAAACATTCAGACAATCGTATCAGTGTTCCAGAATCATATGTGAGGGACAAACATTCAGACCCTCGGAGCATTGTTCTGGAATGCTATGTTAGGGACAAACATTTAGACAATCGTAGCAATGTTCTGGAATAATATGTGAGGGACAAACATTCAGACAGTCTCAGCAGTGTTCTGGAATCCTATGCGAGGGACAAACATTCAGACCTCAGCAGCAGTGTTCTGGAATCCTATGTGAGGGACAAACATTAAAACAACAGCGAAAGTGTTCTGGAATCCTATGTTATGAACAAACATTCAGACCCTCGTCGCAGTGTTCTGGAATTCTATGTGAGGGAGAAATACTCAGAACCCAGCAGCAGGGTTCTGGAATCATGTGAAGGACATACATATAGACTCCAGCAGCATTGTTCTGGAATCCTATGTGAGGGACAAACAGTCACACCCCAGCAACAGCGTTCTGGAATCCTATATGAGGGACAATCATTCAGATGCTTGTAGCAGTGTTCTGGAATTCTGTGTGAGGGACAAACTTTCAGATGCTCGTAGCAGTGTTCTGGAATTCTGTGTGAGGGACAAACTTTCAGACCCTCGTAGCAGTGTTCTGGAATCCTGTGTGAGGGACAAACTTTCAGATGCTCGTAGCAGTGTTCTGGAATTCTGTGTGAGGAACAAACCTTCAGACCCTCTTAGCAGTGTTCTGGAATCATATGTGTCGGACAAACATTTAGACCTCAGCAGCACTGTTCTAGAATCCTATGTGAGGGGCAATCATTCAGACACTCGCAGCGGTGTTCAGGAATCAGATGTGAGGGACAAACACTCAGAACCCAGCAGCAGTGTTCTGGAACCCTATTTGAGGGACAAACAGTCAGATCACAGCTGTATTGTTCTGAAATCCTATGTGAGGAACAAACATTCAGACATTCGTAACGGTGTTCTTGAATCCTACGTGAGGGACAAACATTCAGACGCCAGCAGCATTGTTTTGGAATCCTATGTAAGGGACAAGCATTCAAACAACAGCGGGAGTGTTTTGGAATCCTATGTGTGGGACAAACTTTAAGACAACAGCAGGAGTCTTCTGAAATCCTATGTGAGAAACAAACATTTACAACACAGCAGCAGTGTCCTGGAGTCCTATGTGAGGGGCAAATATTCAGAACCTCATAGCAGTTTTCTGGAATCCTAGGAGAGGGACAAACACTCACAACCCAACAGGAGTGTTCTGGGACCCTGTGTGAGGGAAAAGCATTCAGACAACAACAGGAGTGTTCTGGAATCATATGTGAGGGAGAAACACTCATACCACATCAGGAGTGTTCTAGAATCCCCTGTGAGGGACAAACATTCAGACCCTGGTAAGAGTGTTCCAGAAACCTATGTGAGGGGTAAGCATTTAGTTCCTCCTAGCAGTGTTCTGGAATCCTATGTGGGGGACAAACAGTCAGACCACAACAGGAGTGTACTAGAATCCCCTGTGAGGGACAAACATTCAGACCTTTGAAGCAGTGTTCTGGAATACTAGTGAGGGACAAAGATTCAGACTAGAGCAGAATTCTTCTGGAATCCTATGTGAGGAACGGATATTTAGACCACATCAGGAGTGTTCTGGAATGCTATTTGAGGGACAAACATTCAGTCCCTCTTAGCAGTGTTCTGGAATCCTTTGTGAGGGCTAACCACTCAGAACCCAGCAGCAGTGTTCTGTAATCCTATGAGAGGGACAAACATTCATACCACAGGAGGAATGTTCTGGAATCCTATGTGAGAGACAGACATTCAGACCCTGGTAGCAGTGTTCTGGAATCCTATGTGAAGGCCAAACACTCAGAAACCAGCAGCAGTGTTGTGGAATCCTATGCGAGCGACAAACATTCAGATGCCAGAAGCATTGTTCTGGAATCCTATATGAGGGGCAAACATTCAGACCTAAGCAGGAGTATTATTTAATCCTATGTGATGGATAAACATTCGGACCCCTGCAGCAGTGTTCTGGATACCTATGTGTGGGAGAAACAGTCAGAAACCAGCAGAACGGTTCTGGAATCCTCTGTGATGGACAAACATTTAGAGTCTAGAAGCATTTTTAAGCAATCCTATGTGAGGGAGAAAACATCCAGACCCCAGCAGAAGTGTTCTGGAATCCTTTTTGAAGGAATAACATTTAGTCCCCAGCCGCAGTGTTCTGGAATCCTATGTGAAGGACAAACATTCAGACCCTCCTAGCAGTGTTGTGGAATCCTATGTGAGGGACAAACATACAGATCACAGCAGGAGGGTTATTGCGTCTTATGTGAGGGACAGCCAGAACCCAGCAGGGGTGTTCTGGAATCCTATGTGAGGGACAAATATACAGACCACAGCAGAAGTTTTCTGGAATCCTTTGTGCAGAACAAACATTCAGATCACAGCAAAATTTTTCCAGAATCCTATGTGAGGGACAAAGCTTCAGAACCTCTTAGCAGTGTTCTTGAATCCTATGTGAGGGACAAACTTTCAGACTCCTGTGGCAGTGTTTTAGAATTCGATGTGAAGGACAAACAATCAAAACCCAGAGGCAGTGTTCTTGGATCTTATGTGAAGGACAAACATTCAGACCCTCTTAGCAGTGTTCTGAAATCCTATGTGAGGGAAAAGTATTCAGACTCTCGTAGCAGTGTTCTGGAATCCGACGTGAGGGAGAAACATTCAGACCACAGAAGGAATGTTCTGGAATCCTATGTGAGTAACGTTCAGACCACAGCACGATTGTTCTGGAATCCCATGTGAGGTACAAACATTCAGACGCCAGCAGCAGTGTTCCGAAATCCTATTTTAGGTACAAACATTCACACCACAGCAGGATTGTTCTGGAATCCTATGTGAGAGACAAACATTCAGACCCCAGGGGTAGTGTTCTGGAATCCTATGTGAGGGACAAACTTTCAGACCACAGCGGGAGTGTTCTGGAATCCTATCTGAGAGACAAACATTCACACCCTCGTAGCAGTGTTCTTGAATCTTATGTGAGGGACAAACATTCAAACTCTCCTAGCAGTGTTCTGGAATCCGATGTGAGGGACAAACACTGCAAACCCAGCAGCAGTGTTCTGGAATCCTAAGTGAGGGACAAACATTCAGACCACAGCAGGAGTGTTGCGGATTCCTATGTGAGGGAGAATAATTCAAACTCTAGTAGCAGTGTTCTGGAATCCTATGTGAGGGACAAACATTCAGAGCCCAGTAGCAGTGTTGTGGAATCTTACTTGAGGGACAAACACTCAGACCATGGCAGGAGTGTTTTGGAATCCTTTGTGAGTGAGAAACACTCAGACCACAAGAGGATTGCTCTGGAATCCCATGTGAGGCAAAACCACTGAGACTACAGCAGCAGTTTTCTGGAATCCCATGTGAGGGTCAACCATTGAGACTACAATAGTAGTGTTCTGGAATCCTATATGAGAGACAATCATTCATAACACAGCAGTAGTGTACTGGAATATTATGTGAGGAACAAGCATTCAGACCACAGCAGCAGTGTTCTGGAATCATACATGAGGGACAAACACTCAGAAGCCAGCAGCGGTGTTCTGGAATCCTATTTGAGCGGCAAACATTCAGAACAGAGCAAGAGTGTCTTGGAATCCTATGTGAGGTACAATCATTCAGAGCCTCGTAGCAGTGTTCTGGAATCGTACTAGAGGGACAAACACTGAGAACCCAACAGCAGTGTTCTGGATTCCTTAGGGGGGGACAAACATTCAGAGCATGGCAGGAGTGTTCTGGAATCCCATGTGAGGGAGAAAAATTCAGACCTTCGTAGCAGTGTTCTGGAATCCTATGTGAGGGACAAACATTTAGACCCAAGTAGCTGTGTTCTGGAATCTTACGTTAAGTACAAACACTCAGAAACCAACAGCAGTGCTCTGGAATCCTAAGTGAGGGACAAACTTTCAGACCACAGCACGAGTGTTCTGGAATCCTGAGTGAGAGACAAACATTCGGAACACAGCAGGAGTGTTCTGGAACGCTATGTCAGGGAGAATAATTCAGACCCTCATAGCAGTGTTCTGGAATCCTATGTGAGGGACAAACATTCAGACTCCAGTAGCAGTGTTTTGGAATCCTATTTGAGGGAGAAACACTCAGACCAGAGAAGAAATGTTTTGGAATCCTATGTGAGGGGGAAACATTCAGAACACAGCAGGATAGATCTGGAAACCCTTGTGAGGCACAAACACCCAGATGACAGGAGGAATGTTCTGGAATCCTATATAAGGGTCAAGTATTCAGACCACAGCAGTAGTGTTCTGGAATCCTATATGAGGGACAAACATTCAGACCCTCGTAGCAGTGTTCTGGAATCCTATGTAAAAGACAAACACTCAGAAACCAGGAGCAGTGTTCTGTAATCCTTTGTGAGGGAGAAACTTTCAGACCACAGAAGGAGTGTTCTGGAATCCTAAGTGAGGGACAAACATTCAGACCAAAGCAGCAGTGTTCTGGACTCCTATGTGAGGGACAAACATTTAGGCCCACGTAGCAGTGTTCTGGAATCCTATGTGAGGGACAAACATTCAGAAACTCGTAGCAGTGTTGTGGAATCCTATGTGAGGGAGAAACACTCAGAACGCAGCAGCAGTGTTCTGGAATCCTATGTGAGGGACAAACATTCAGAGCAGAGCAGGAATGTTCTGGAGTCCTATGTGCGGGACAAACTTTCAATCCCTCATAGCAGTGTTCTGGAATTCTATGTGATGGACAAACATTTACAACCATGAGGCAGTGTTCTGGAGTCATACGTGAGGGACAAACACTCAGATCCCAAACTCAGTGTTCTGGAATCCCATTTGAGGGACAAACATTCAGACCAGAGCAGGAGTGTTCCGTAATCCTATGTGAGGTACAATCATTCAGACCCTCGTAGCAGTGTTCTGCAGTCCTATGTGAGGGACAAACACTCAGAACCCAGCAGCATTGTTCTGGAATCTTATATGAGGGACCATCATTCAGACCACAGCTGGCATCTCCTGGAATCCTACGTGTGGGACAAGCATTCAGACTCTCGTAGCACTGTTCTGGAATCCTAGGTTAGGAAAATACATTCAGAACACAGCAGGAGTGCTCTGGAGTCCTATGTGCGGGACAAACATTGAGACCTTTGTAGCACTGTTGTGGAATCCTATGTGAGGGAGAAACACTCAGAACCCAGCAGCAGTGTTCTGGAATCCTATGTGAGGGACAACCATTCAGACCACAGCTGGAGTGTTCTGGAATCCTACTTGTGGGACAAGCATTCAGACCCTCGTAGCATTGTTCTGTAATCCTATGTTAGGAAATCACATTCAGAACACAGCAGGAGTGTTCTGGAGTCCTATGTGAGGGACAAAGATTCAGACCCTCATAACAGTGTTCTGGAATCTTATGTGAGGTACAAACATTCAGACCCCCCTAGCAGTGTTCTGGAATTGTATGTGAGGGACAAAAACTCAGAACCCAGCAGCAGTGTTCTGGAATCTTATCTGACGGACAAATATTCAGACTAGGGAAGGAGTGCTCTAGAACCCTGTGTGAGGTACAATCATTCAGACCGCAGCAGGACTGTTCTGGAATCATATGTGAGGGGCAATCATTCAGACCACAGCTGATGTGTTCTGGAATCCTACGTGTGGGACAGGCATTCAGACCCTCGTAGCATTGTTCTGGAATCCTATGTTAAGAAAATACAAATGTAAGGCTGAAAGCTGTAAAACTCCTACACAAAAATATAAGGGAAAAATATGCAACGTTATGCCATTGAATTTGGCAGTGGGATCTTGACTGCCAGCTGCCCCACATCCCTGGAACATCCATCCGCTCACCGCTGCCGGGTTCTGGGTCCTTCCACACCTGTCACGCTACTTTGTGAGGGGCTCTGAGGGGCACCAGCCAGGACCCCATGCTGAGCACAGGGCACAGGCCGGGCATTGTCAGGCTATTCGCTGGCAGGCTATCCCCATGCCCGCCTCAGACGCCAGGAGGAAGGGCGGCCTGATCTGAGCCTGCGGAAGGAGGAAGAAGCACGTTTCCTGAGCCAACAGGGACACAGAGGCGGATGCCATAAAATTATATGGCATATATTTTGAAACATGGCCGCAATTTGAATAATTAGAATATCTAAAAACTCCAAAGATTATTATGCTGAAACGGCACCAAAAATTATCATTCCAGTGACTACAGGGAATTTTTAATAGTTGCTATTTTTATAATAAAATTAAACTTTAATGAAATAACTGACTTTCAAACTTCAGCAAGAGGACAAATATTCAGCCAGAGATATCAGTTCCCAGTTTCTGCTCCGGGTCTTCTCTGGTCTTCCACAGCCCCTCCTGCATCACCCAGGGCTAAAGGGCCACCTGGCCTGGCCTGAATCCCCTCGTCCCTCCGCTTCCCCACTCAGCTCCTTCAGCGCCCTCCTGAGGCAGGGGCGGCAAACTGTCCAGAGCTGGAGGCTCCCTCGACCAGGGCAGCACCGCTCCGCCCCTCTCCGCACCTGCCCAGCCCCTGGCAAAGGACGTGCCTGGGCCTGGCCCACTGCACGTCCCCCGACGCCTGCCCTGTGCCTGCAACGGCGACGCTGCCAACAAGAGGTGCCAGAGGCTGAGGCGCAACCCCCCCAGAGCGCAGGGTTCCCACTCACCTGGGAGTAGGGATAGGCCCCTCCTGGTAGGTTGCACTGTTAAGATTATTTCCTTATTTATTTTACTTAAAACTGGTAGAATGTTACTATTATATGACGTACCCATGATTCTGCCAGTAAATTTGGGCATACGTTTATTAGTTTTTGTTAGATTAACTAGTTCTTTTGTTTCTGTTATTAAGGTGAAATTTAAATTCTATCTGAAATCAGTAAGATACAGAGAGATTTTAATGAGAAGTGAGTATTTTTTTCTAAAGGGGAACTGATATCTCTGGCTGAATATGTGTCTTCTTGCTGAAGTTTGAAAGTCAGTTATTTTATTAAAGTTTAATTTTACTATAAAAATAACAACTATTAAAAATTCCCTGTCATCATTGGAAGGATAAATTTTGGTGCAGTGTCAGTATAACAATATTTCGAATTTTTAAATGTTCTAATTATTCAAATTGTGGTCATGCTTTAAAAATATATGCCATAGAAGTTATGTTATTTTAAAATACCATTCTTTATTATGGGAAGAAGCAGTAAATTCACCTTAACCGTAGCAGACTCTAGAGCTGGCTAAAACACCCTTTAGAGGTTAAATTGTAATGAGGTAGACCATCAATGCAAAAAACAGTTTTTTTAGTTGTTCCGCTACCTGTGCAAAACTTATTAGAAGAATGTTCAGAAATTAAAATCTGTGTTTGTTAAGACTTGTTTCTGCTGGGGGTTTTAGAATGTAATAAAAGCTATAAATAAAATTCTAAGCCCCGTATCAACTGAACATACTTCCTCTTGAGCAAGAAGACCCCAGAAAAAAACTTAAAAACTGAATTTCTGGCTATGACAGCAAGAGAGGTGTTATGTGCAGGAGATGCTCCAGGGAAGAAGAAAACACACACACACAATACCTTTAAAGGTCAACAAACTCGATCCCACATAAATGGCAATTCAGATATAATAAGCAAATGATAGAATAAGCAAATTGATACAATAAGCAAATTGCAGTGGGAAGGGGAGAAGGAAAAAAATGTGTGTATATATATATGAGGATAGACTATGGAGGATTCATCACCAGACCGAGAAGCAACAGCCTGGGCTCCAGAGTCAGCCACTCATCCATGCACAAAGGAACACAAAAAGGTCAATTTGCTTTTGCCGTTGTCTGTTGTTTTTCAATAACTAAAGTATAGGAATAGATTGAAATAGAGATTTCTCTGAAACAGTGCTGGATGAATGCCTCAAGGGGCTCACAAAACCTATTCCGAGACTTGGTGACCATTATTTGTGTCCATGTTCAATTGAGTTTAAATATATTATTTAACTTTTTCTGCGTATTCGGTCCCAATTGATACTCAAATGTAGGAAAATACCCTTACAGATATACGAGGAATACATAATTGGTAGAGGTTACAGAAGCAGGGTAAGCAGAGGAGAATTAAAACACAGTTAATAAAAACCGCACCCACCAAGGCCAACGCCAATGCCAGTTGGACAGCCAATTCATGATGGGGTCCTGACAGTTAGATTTTGTTTTGCTTGTCCTTGCATGTCTTGGGCGAGGAGAGTAATATTGTGAGAACTGTCAGGGATACACACACAAAATTCAGTATGCAGCAAGGCTGAAACGCTCCTTGGGCTGCGGTAAGCATACCTAATGCCATTTGATTTTGCAACACAACACTACACAACTGAGCAAATTCCTCTGATAACAACATAAGTCCAGTGCTACTACCATTAAGAGCTTTTTCTACATGTAAGCTTAATATTTAAATTTTTTGCTGAAGCAGAATTGTATCAGTGGCAGAGGAGAACACTGTTATAGGGTACACCCCATCAGGGATTCTGGCGCATTTGTAACCAGTGATGTTTGGAAGCATCTAGATTTAGGAAAGAGGTTGTGTTTCATTGGGGACAATGCTGTTGATTTGGAGTATGTGTTGACAATTGTCTGGTGGGAGAAACCCCAGAGTAACATTAAAAGAGCCATTTAAGGCCTCCAGACAAAGGTGGGGTGCGGTGCCATATGGAGTTCAGCTACCGGTATGGTAGGTTCCCTGTATATGTCTTTCCAGGTATATTGGGTAGGATACAAAGGCCTTTGATGCATTGCAAAAGTGGATTTCTCCTTTTGTCAGACTTGGGCAAAAATAGACTCTTTGTTTTGGTTAAAAGAAGTCCAGGTGGGATTACAGGTGCTATTCTCCTGACCCCCTTGGTAGTGATGTAACCACTTGGAAATGTTGGCAGAGACAATTTTTTAAGGGAGCCCATTCCCTGCAGCCTGTGGCAATTCGACTAAAAGGCAGCACTAACTGCAGTTGACTTCTGTTGCAGCGGTGGCTACCCAGTTGCTAAATGCATTCTTGGCCTCAGACACAAAGAAGCAGGTGCTGACCATCATTCGATAGGCTATTCCTTTTAATAACAAAAACAGAGGGGAACATAACATTGTTTTTAAAATTTTACTACTCCCCTCATTTCCTGCCCCCATACTGTGGCCCCAGGATTTAAGCTGCCCACTTTGGTGGACCCAAATCCTCCAGTTCTATATGATGTTCCTATTGGGGCAGAAATTTCCTCGGGGTTAATTGGTGACACGGTACTACCAGTAGCTGAGCAATCTGCATCTGCGGCTTTATGGCAAAAGAATTTTCGGTGGTATTGTGTTAAAAGATTTTTAACTCTCACCGGTAATCACTATCAATTACACCACCATACACTATAATGCCTCTCATTCCAATGCTTGGACGTGTTGTAATCCATTCATCCACATTTGGGTTTGCAGTTATGGTGGAAATTTTGGCCTGTTGACCTGCCTGCTGATTAATTAGTCTGCCAAGAGAAAGCAGAGATGCATGAGCATCAACATAACAGTGTTAATGGTAGGGTGCACAGGGATTCAGATATCTTCCCTGTATTCTTTCCCCAAACCTCTTTATTCCCAATTAACCATTTGCCTCATTGCCATTGAGGCATCTAGATAGTAAGACCATTTGCTACTGACCAAGAGTTGGTATACAAGTGTCAAATCCCTCTGGCCTTCTTCTGAATAGCTGGGAACATGGCTACTAGCTCAGCCAGCTGGCTGCTCCCATCCCTTCCTTCATCAGAAATACTTATGTTTTTAACAGGATTATAAGCCACGGCCTCCCCGCATCGGGTCCCACCAATGTATCTGGCAGATCCATCAGTAAACCAAGCATGTTTCTGATGCTTTGGATGAGGCAGGTCTCTTTCCCTGCCTGCAGGACTTGTTCGGTGGCTTTCTGAGTTGGCAAATTTTTTAAAAACGATACCCCCTTTGGTCCTGGCTTTACCCTATCTTGTATATACCATTCCATTATGTGATGCTACTTTCTTCAGCATGCCCTATTCGATGGGTTTTGGTGGACCTCATGACCCAAGTCATAATAGGAATTTCAGGCCTTATGAAGACATCATGGTTGAAGCAGAGAGTCTCCATTTCCAGCAAAGCCCGATAGCAAGCTAACAGTCGCTTCTCAAAAGGATTATAAGCTTCGCCAGCCTCTGGCAGCTTCCGGGTTTGAAACCCCAAGAGTCCCCTCTTCCCATCTTGTTTCTGCCAAAGGCTCCAATTAGCATGTTAATCCAGGACAGTTGTTTGCAATTCTACGGTCCCATCCCATATGGGCCATCCAGGGCCAGATGCACTGCTTGCTTAGCTTGCTCAAAGGCTGTGTTCTCTTTCTACCTCCAGTGAAAGTCATTATATTTTCTAGTGACTGCATACAGAGGTTGTGAGATGTTACCCAAATCGGGAAGATGTCTCCAGAATTCAAACAAGCCAATAAATTTCTGGGCCTCCTTTTTAGTGGTAGGGGTTGCAAATTCTAGTATTTTAACCATAGCCTTTGGTAAAATGGACTTTTTCCTTGCGTTCCATGGGATGCAAAGCAATTTTATAGTTTGTGCAGGTTCTTGAAATTTGTAAAGGCTAATTTCCCATTCTTCAGATAGGAACTGGGTTTTTACCCACTCCAAGCCCCAGCTGACTCGTTCTTCAGTTTTACCCTGACCACACCACTTGCACAGCTGTTTTTTTCATCAATAATCTGTTAGCTTTGAGCCTGATCAGTCAAGACATAGGCCTGAAATTGAGCCAGGGCCAGTCTGGAAGTCAGAGTAGTGTTTTCTTTTTCCAGTTTACATTTATCTTGTAGCAATTGATTTCTATCTCAACACATTAACTTATAAGCAGTAAGCAAGCACCATCTATGCTAAGAGATCCCCCTGGCATCTCCTTTGCTGACCGAAATCCCCTGCAGCACTTCATGCACAGTCAAAGGTTCAAATTCCAATAATTTAGATACCCAATTTTCACTAAGGTCAGTTCCCCCGACCATTCAATTGCCAAGAGGGAGAACTGGAGGAGTTTCTATCCTGGAATGTGGGAAGTCCCTGAGCTTCCAGCCGTGATCTTGAAGCTGAAAAGTGAAACCTCCATAGTCTGGTGGGTGTAGTAGCCAACTCTGGAGCCTAGGCTGTTGCTTCCCCATCTGGCCATGAATGCTGTATAGTCTGGTGAGTATATATACATAGATATAGATATAGATAGATAGATACATACATACATAGATATAGATAGATAGATAAAAATATAGATATAGATATAGATATCTGCAATGCCATTTACATGGGATAAAAAAGTTGTTTGCCCTTAAAGGTATTGTGTGTGTCTTTTCTTCTCCCATCAGCATCTCCCACACAGAACAGGAGGAGACAGGCCTTGTTACACACCTGTTTGCTGTTGTACCTCTGTTTGCTCTTTAGGTACAACAAATCATCAGCACTAATGTTAAAATAGAGATCATAAGACTGACAAAACTGACTCTGTGGCAATATAATACCAAATTATTGCCACAATTTAAGGCAGTGCAAGGCAAGTGTTAAGCCATGCATGCAGGTCAGCAATCTTGCTACATAGCATCCCTATCTCCACTTAAGAGTTAAAACTTTTATATCAGCTGACTCCAAGTTTTAGATAGAACATTACCCCTTTAACAGTTAAGCAAGAGGGAGGAGCCAAGATGGCCGAATAGGAAGAGCTCCGGTCTACAGCTCCCAGCCTGAGTGACGCAGAAGACGGGTGATTTCTGCATTTCCATCTGAGGTACCGGGTTCATCTCACTAGGGAGTGCCAGACAGTGGGCGCAGGCCAGTGGGTGCGCGCACCGTGCACGAGCCGAAGCAGGTCGAGGCATTGCCTCACTTGGGAAGCGCAAGGGGTCAGGGAGTTCCCTTTCCAAGTCAAAGAAAGGGGTGACGGACGCACCTGGAAAATCGGGTCACTCCCACCCGAATATTGCGCTTTTCACACCGGCTTAAAAAACGGCGCACCACGAGATTATATCCCACACCTGGCTCGGAGGGTCCTACGCCCACGGAATCTCACTGATTGCTAGCACAGCAGTCTGATCAAACTGCAAGGCGGCAGCGACCCTGGGGGAGGGGCGCCCGCCATTGCCCAGGCTTGCTTAGGTAAACAAAGCAGCCGGGAAGCTCGAACTGGGTGGAGCCCACCACAGCTCAAGGAGGCCTGCCTGCCTCTGTAGGCTCCACCTCTGGGGGCAGGGCACAGACAAACAAAAAGACAGCAGTAACCTCTGCAGACTTAAATATCCCTGTCTGACAGCTTTGAAGAGAGCAGTGGTTCTCCCAGCACGCAGCTGGAGATCTGAGAACCAGCAGACTGCCTCCTCAAGTGGGTCCCTGACCCCTGACCCCCGAGCAGCCTAACTAGGAGGCACCCCCCAGCAGGGGCACACTGACACCTCACACAGCAGGGTATTCCAACAGACCTGCAGCTGAGGGTCCTGTCTGTTAGAAGGAAAACTAACAAAGAGAAAGGACATCCACACCGAAAACCCATCTGTACATCACCATCATCAAAGACCAAAAGTAGATAAAACCACAAAGATGGGGAAAAAACAGAACAGAAAAACTGGAAACTCTACAACGCAGAGCGCCTCTCCTCCAAAGGAACGCAGTTCCTCACCAGCAACGGAACAAAGCTGGATGGAGAATGACTTTGACGAGCTGAGAGAAGGCTTCACACGATCAAATTCCTCTGAGCTACGGGAGGACATTCAAACCAAAGGCAAAGAAGTTGAAAACTTTGAAAAAAATTTAGAAGAATGTATAACTAGAATAACCAATACAGAGAAGTGCTTAAAGGAGCTGATGGAGCTGAAAACTAAGGCTCGAGAACTACGTGAAGAATGCAGAAGCCTCAGGAGCCGATGCGATCAACTGGAAGAAAGGGTATCAGCAATGGAAGATAAAATGAATGAAATGAAGCGAGAAGGGAAGTTTAGAGAAAAAAGAATAAAAAGAAATGAACAAAGCCTCCAAGAAATATGGGACTATGTGAAAAGACCAAATCTACGTCTGATTGGTGTACCTGAAAGTGATGGGGAGAATGGAACCAAGTTGGAAAACACTCTGCAGGATATTATTCAGGAGAACTTCCGCAATCTAGCAGGGCAGGCCAACGTTCAGATTCAGGAAATACAGAGAACGCCACAAAGATACTCCTCGAGAAGAGCAACTCCAAGACACATAATTGTCAGATTCACCAAAGTTGAAATGAAGGAAAAAATGTTAAGGGCAGCCAGAGAGAAAGGTCGGATTACCCTCAAAGGGAAGCCCATCAGACTAACAGTGGATCTCTCGGCAGAAACCCTACAAGCCAGAAGAGAGTGGGGGCCAATATTCAACATTCTTAAAGAAAAGAATTTTCAACCCAGAATTTCATATCCAGCCAAACTAAGCTTCATAAGTGGAGAAATAAAATACTTCACAGACAAGCAAATGCTGAGAGATTTTGTCACCACCAGGCCTGCCCTAAAAGAGCTCCTGAAGGAAGCACTAAACATGGAAAGGAACAACCGGTACCAGCAGCTGCAAAATCATGCCAAAATGTAAAGACCATCGAGAATAGGAAGAAACTGCATCAACTAACGAGCAAAATAACCAGCTAACATCATAATGACAGGATCAATTTCACACATAACAGTATTAACTTTAAATGTAAATGGACTAAATTCTCCAATTAAAAGACACAGACTGGCAAAGTGGATAAAGAGTCAAGACCCATCAGTGTGCTGTATTCAGGAAACCCATCTCACGTGCAGAGACACACATAGGCTCAAAATAAAGGGATGGAAGAAGATCTACCAAGCAAATGGAAAACAAAAAAGGGCAGGGGTTGCAATCCTCGTCTCTGATAAAACAGACTTTAAACCAACAAAGATCAAAACAGACAAAGAAGGCCACTACATAATGGTAAAGGGATCAATGCAACAAGAAGAGCTAACTATCCTAAATATATATGCACCCAATACAGGAGCACCCAGATTCATAAAGCAAGTCCTGAGTGACCTACAAAGAGAATTAGACTCCCACACATTAATAATGGGAGACTTTAACACCCCACTGTCAACATTAGACAGATCAACAAGACAGAAAGTCAACAAGTATACCCAGGAATTGAACTCAGCTCTGCACCAAGTGGACCTAATAGACATCTACAGAACTCTCCACCCCAAATCAACAGAATATACATTTTTTTCAGCACCACACCACACCTATTCCAAAATTGACCACGTAGTTGGAAGTAAAGCTCTCCTCAGCAAATGTAAAATAACAGAAATTATAACAAACTATCTCTCAGACCACAGTGCAATTCAACTAGAACTCAGGATTAAGAATCTCACTCAAAACCGCTCAACTATATGGAAACTGAACAACCTGCTCCTGAATGACTACTGGGTACATAACGAAATGAAGGCAGAAATAAAGATGTTCTTTGAAACCAATGAGAACAAAGACACAACATACCAGAATCTCTGGGACGCATTCAAAGCAGTGTGTAGAGGGAAATTTATAGCACTAAATGCCCACAAGAGAAAGCAGGAAAGATCCAAAATTGACAACCTAACATCACAATTAAAAGAACTAGAAAAGCAAGAGCAAACACATTCAAAAGCTAGCAGAAGGCAAGAAATAACTAAAATCAGAGCAGAACTGAAGGAAATAGAGACACAAAAAACCCTTCAAAAAATCAATGAATCCAGAAGCTGGTTTTTTGAAAGGATCAACAAAATTGATAGACTGCTAGCAAGACTAATAAAGAAAAAAAGAGGGAAGAATCAAATAGACGCAATAAAAAATGATAAAGGCGATATCACCACCGATCCCACAGAAATACAAACTACCATCAGAGAATACTACAAACACCTCTACGCAAATAAACTAGAAAATCTAGAAGAAATGGATAAATTCCTCGACACATGCACTCTCCCAAGACTAAACCAGGAAGAAGTTGAATCTCTGAATAGACCAATAACAGGATCTGAAATTGTGGCAATAATCAATAGTTTACCAACCAAAAAGAGTCCAGAACCAGATGGATTCACAGCTGAATTCTACCAGAGGTACAAGGAGGGACTAGTACCATTCCTTCTGAAACTATTCCAAACAATAGAAAAAGAAGGAATCCTCCCTAACTCATTTTATGAGGCCAGCATCATTCTGATACCAAAGCCGCACACAGACACAACGAAAAAAGAGAATTAAAGACCAATATCCTTGATGAACATTGATGCAAAAATCCTCAATAAAATACTGGCAAAACGAATCCAGCAGCACATCAAAAAGCTTATCCACCATGACCAAGTGGGCTTCATCCCTGGGATGCAAGGCTGGTTCAATATACACAAATCAATAAATGTAATCCAGCATTTAAACAAAGCCAAAGACAAAAACCACGTGATTATCTCAATAGATGCAGAAAAAACATTTGACAAAATTCAACAACCCTTCATGCTAAAAACTCTCAACAAATTAGGTATTGATGGGACGTATTTCAAAATAATAAGAGCTATCTATGACAAACCCACAGCCAATATCATACTGAATGGGCAAAAACTGGAAGCATTGTCTTTGAAAACTGGCACAAGACAGGGATGCCCTCTCTCACCACTCCTATTCAACACAGTGTTGGAAATTCTGGCCAGGGCAATTAGGCAGGAGAAGGAAATAAAGGGTATTCAATTAGGAAAATAGGAAGTCAAATTGTCCCTGTTTGCAGACGACATGATTGTATATCTAGAAAACCCCATTGTCTCAGCCCAAAATCTCCTTAAGCTGATAAGCAACTTCAGCAAAGTCTCAGGATACAAAATCAATGTACAAAAATCACAAGCATTCTTATACACCAACAACAGACAAACAGAGAGCCAAATCATGAGTGAACTCCCATTCAGAATTGCTTCAAAGAGAATAAAATACCTAAGAATCCAACTTACAAGGGATGTGAAGGACCTCTTCAAGGAGAACTATAAACCACTGCTCAAGGAAATAAAAGAGGATACAAACAAATGGAAGAACATTCCATGCTCATGGGTAGGAAGAATCAATATTGTGAAAATGGCCATACTGCCCAAGGTAATTTACAGATTCAATGCCATCCCCATCAAGCTACCAATGACTTTCTTCACAGAATTGGAAAAAACTACTTTAAAGTTCATATGGAACCAAAAAAGAGCCCGCATCGCCAAGTCAATCCTAAGCCAAAAGAACAAAGCTGGAGGCATCACACTACCTGACTTCAAACTATACTACAAGGCTACAGTAACCAAAACAGCATGGTACTGGTACCAAAACAGAGATATAGATCAATGGAACAGAACAGAGCCCTCAGAAATAATGCCACATATCTACAACTATCTGATCTTTGACAAACCTGACAAAAACAAGCAATGTGGAAAGGATTCCCTATTTAATAAATGGTGCTGGGAAAACTGGCTAGCCATATGTAGAAAGCTGAAACTGGATCCCTTCCTTACACCTTATACAAAAATCAATTCAAGATGGATTAAAGAGTTAGACATTAGACCTAAAACCATAAAAACCCTAGAAGAAAACCTAGACATTACCATTCAGGACATAGACATGGGCAAGGACTTCATGTCCAAAACACCAAAAGCAATGGCAACAAAAGACAAAATTGACAAATGGGATCTAATTAAACTAAAGAGCTTCTGCACAGCAAAAGAAACTACCATCAGAGTGAACAGGCAACCTACAAAATGGGAGAAAATTTTCGCAAACTACTCATCTGACAAAGGGCTAATATCCAGAATCTACAATGAACTCAAACAAATTTACAAGAAAAAAACAAACAACCCCATCAAAAAGTGGGCGAAGGACATGAGCAGACACTTCTCAAAAGAAGACATTTATGCAGCCAAAAAACACATGAAAAAATGCTCATCATCACTGGCCATCAGAGAAATGCAAATCAAAACCACAATGAGATACCATCTCACACCAGTTAGAATGGCGATCATTAAAAAGTCAGGAAACAACAGGTGCTGGAGAGGATGTGGAGAAATAGGAACACTTTTACACTGTTGGTGGGACTGTAAACTAGTTCAACCGTTGTGGAAGTCAGTGTGGCGATTCCTCAGGGACCTAGAACTAGAAATACCATTTGACCCAGCCATCCCATTACTGGGTATATACCCAAAGGACTATAAATCATGCTGCTATAAAGACACATGCACACGTATGTTTATTGTGGCATTATTCACAATAGCAAAGACTTGGAACCAACCCAAATGTCCAACAATGATAGACTGGATTAAGAAAACGTGGCACATATACACCATGGAATACTATGCAGCCATAAAAAATGATGAGTTCATGTCCTTTGTAGGGACATGGATGAAATTGGAAATCATCATTCTCAGTAAACTATCGCAAGAACAAAAAACCAAACACCGCATATTCTCACTCATAGGTGGGAATTGAACAATGAGATCCCATGGACACAGGAAGGGGAATATCACACTCTGGGGACTGTTGTGGGGTGGGGGGAGGGGGGAGGGATAGCATTGGGAAATACACCTAATGCTAGATGACGAGTTAGTGAGTGCAGCACACCAGCATGGCACATGTATACATGTGTAACCTGCACAATGTGCACATGTACCCCAAAACTTAAAGTATAATTAAAAAAAATAAAAAAATAAAAAATAAAACAACTGCTCATTTTACCATCTCTTCAGTCCTTGACAAGCACCATTCTAACTTTTTTTTCCTATGAGTATATCTACTTAAGATACCTGATTATGAATGGAATCATAGACTGTCACTTTGTTCCTGGCTTATTTCAATTAACATGATCTTCTCCAGAATTATCATATAATGTGTCTTTTTAAAGACTGAATAATATTCGACTTTGTTTATGTGCCACTTGTTATTAATCTGTTCATTGGTCAAGGGACATCTGGATTGTTTCTGCCTTTTGGCTTGTGTTAATAATATTGCAATAAATTTGGTTGTGCAAATATCTCTTCCAGATCTGCGTTGTATATTTTAAGTACATAGCCAGAAGGGGGTTTGCTGGATTATATAATAATCTCATTTTAAATTTTTTGAAGAGCTGTCATACTATTTTAAATATCGGCTTGAGGCCGTAGATTATTGTGACTTTGCTTTGCATTTTTCTAGAAGAGTGATGTCGAGTATCCTTTTATTTTTTTATTTTATTTTTTAAATTTCATAAACATTTATTCACAGCCTCTTTAAAAGTACAGCAGTGAAGTAAAACCCCAATTAAACAACTGCCCATTAACTTGTTACTTAAAATTTAGACTTAAAAACCAATAGACTTTTTTTTTGGTGTGTATGCAATTACTTTTATAAACACAGTTTAGGTTGGAATAAGGAAGTCCTAATTCATCATGTTGGAGCTTGCCCTCACTGCTGCAGGCTGTTGAAGTGAGCCTCCTTCAAGATCTGGTTGATATGGGAGTAAAGACCTTGGCATGATACATACCCCTCATGCAAGAACTAGGGAAAGTTTGCATTGGGTTCAGTAACAATCTGGTTTAAGTTGCCTTCTCGTCCATCTTCTCTCTCTGGGATATTAAGGCGGCTGCTGCTCCTTTCATTATCACTCCATGAAAACTGTGTCTTGAGAATCCTGAAAGATAGGGTTTCTCTTATTCCTTTTGGGCTGGGTGGAATGATGGTTGCCCTCTTTACTGCCATTTCTTCTTCTTTTCCGTACAGGGCAGCCTCCCATAGTCCTGCCCTCGGACGAGTATCCTTTTAAATACCTAGTCATTTCTATGTCTTCTTTGGAGAAAGGTCATTTCAAACATTTACCATTCTAAATCAAGTTATTAACTTTTTGTTGTTGTTGAATTTCAGAAGTTTATATCTTTTGGAAATTAACACCTACCAAATATGTGATTAGAAAATATTTTTACACTTTTTTGTTATATGTATGTATGTATGCACATATATTACCCTATACAAGACAGGGTCTTGATATATTTTCATGGCTAGTCTCAAACTTTTGGCCTCAAATGATCGTTCTGACTTGGCCTCCTAAATTTCTAGAATTATAGGCTTGAGCCAGCATACCCAGGTTTCACCCACTTATTAGGAGACATTTGTATGCCACTAAATGTTTTCCTTGATGTGTAGAATACTTGAAGGTTAATGTAGTTCCTTTCTTTTTTGTTCTTTTCCTTGTTTCTTATGAATTTGATGTCATACTTAAGCAAAGTTTTAAGACTTATGTCATAAACTTTTCCCCTATGTTTACTTCTAAGAATTTTATTAGTTTTTATGTTTAAGCATTAAATCCATTAAAAATCAACTTTTGTTTTTATGTATAATACAAAAGAAGCATCCAACTTTATTTTTGCTCTGTAAACATTCAATTTTGAAAATCCTTTGTTAAAGAGATTCTTATTTTTCTATTGCATGGTCATGGAAAGCATATGGAAGATTATTTTATCACGTATGCGAGGGTTTATTTCCAGGATGTCTATTCTGTTTCATCATCTATGTATCCGTTTTTGTGGCAATACCATATTGTTTTTATTTTTGTAGCTTTGTATCATGATTTTAAATCAGAAAATGTAATAACTCTTTGTCCTTTTTAAAGGGTGTTTGCCTAGTCACACTTCCTAAACAACTTTTAGAATTATACACAAAAATTCTGCAAAAAAAATACCATTGGGATTTAGATGAAAATTACATTACATTTTTATATCATCATGGGTAATACTGACAACCTTTTTTTTTTCCTTTGGAGATGGAGTTTTAGTGAGTCACTCAGGCTGAAGGGCAGTGGTGTGAGCTGTGCTCACTGCAAGCTCTGCTTCCCATGTTCAAGCAATTCTCCAGTCTCAGCCACCAGTTCTCCAGTCTCAGCCACCAGAGTAGCTGGGATTACAGTCATGCACCAACATGTATAGCTAACTTTTGTATTTTTAGTAGAGATAGGGTTTTGCCATGTTGGCCAGGCTAGTCTCAAACTTCTGATCTCAAGTGATCCACACACTTTGGACTCCCAAAGTCCTGGGATTACAGGCATGAGTCACGCGCCGGCCCTGACATCTTAACAATATTAAATCACCTGACACTTGAGCAAGACTATATGTAAGATTTTGCTTAATTTCCTCTTATTTACGTATCTGAAACATTTTCTTGCTTTTGATTTCTAGTTTCATTTACATTGCATGACTTCAGTTTTCTTAAATTTAATAAGACATGTATCCTAACAGAATGTACCATGTGTGATTGAGAATATTGCATATTTTGCTGCTTTCGATCGCAGAGTTCTGTAAATGCTTGTTAGGTCTATAATGTTCAGGTTTGGCTTTTCTTACTGATATTACATCTGACTATTCTAGTCATTATTGAAAGTGGAGTCTTGAAGTCCGCAATTGTTGTGTTGCTATATATTTCTTGCTTGACTTCTGTCAATATTTGTTTTACATATTTGAAAGACGAGAATGAGTTGAACCTGGGAGGCGGAGGTTGAAGTGAGCCAATCGCGAGATCGTGCCATTGTCCTCCAGCCTGGGAGACAGAAACTCTATCTCCAAAAAAAAAAAGAAAGATATCAGTGTTATTTATAGTAATATAAAATTTAATGTAATTTTTATCAAAATCCCAATGGTATATAATTTTGCATATTATTTTTGCAGATTTTTCAAATTATATATATGATTTCTAATTATTGTTATGGATTTCTTGCAAGTTAATCCATCTCACCGTTACATAATAACAATCTGTCTCTTTTTAAAATTTTTAACTTAAATATATTTTGTTTAATATAATTATGACCATGCCCCTCCAATTGTAGCTACTCTTTGCATAAAATATATTTTCTTTATACTGCTACTTTCAACTTATTTGAATCCTTAGAGCTAAAGTGACTCTTGTAGAGAGTACATTGCTGGATCTTCTTTGTTCTTAATCCATTAAATCATTTTATGCATTTTCTTTAAGGTATTTAACTTTTTGTATTTGAAGTAATTACTGTAGTTAATGAAGTTACTATTATTATTTGTAATTGTCTTCTGTGTTTCTTGTAGATGTGTTATTTATCATTTTTTTCTCTTACTGCTTTATTTTTCTTCATTGATTTTGTAGTGACATGATTCAATTTCTTTCTCATTTGCTTCTGCATACCATCTACAGGTTTTTTTGTAATCATCTTGAGAAATAAAGACTTCATAAAACATCTTAAAGTTATGACAATATATAATGACTATATTTCAATGGAATGCAAAGCTGTACCTCTTTATACCCCCACTTTGTTATTAATATCACTTGTTATCTTTTCTTATTGAGTATCTATGAACCCATATTTATGCAGCTTTCTGCTTCATTTTTTAAATTCCATAGCAATAACGTGAAAGTTTTGTGCACCATCATTATGACAGTAGAGGTTTCTATAGCTATTTATGTATTTACCTTTAATAGAGAGCTTTCTATTTTCATATGCTTATATGACGCTGTGCGGCATATATTGTCATTTTTGGACGTGATAGACTTTCTTTTACATTTCCTTTAGCACTGTTCCAGTGGTTAGTAACACACTCAACCTTTATTTGTTTTGGAAATGCTTAACTTTTTTTTTCTGAAGTGAAATTATTCCAGTTGAAGGTTTTTGTTTAGCATGATTTCTTCTTGTTTAATTACCTTGTCATCTAGGGAGTTCTCAGCTACTTTTTAAAAATATCCTCTTTATTATTTTTCTCCTATACTGTTTTTCTAAGACTCCTTTTATAAATACAGTGGTCCACTTGGTGGTGTGCTGTAAGTCCCAATTTTCATTTTTTCTCTATTCCGTTTAAAAAATTTGTTTTCATGAATCAGTATTTATAAGTGCAATGTTATCAACTGTCTAATTTTTTCTGCTTTATTAAATCCACTTTTGTGACTGCTGATTAAATTTTTAATATAGTTACTGTGTTCTTCAGAGTCACAATTTTTCTTGGTTTTTAAAAATCTTTTTATTGATATCTCGTTTTCTTCATGCATCACTTCTAATATTCTTTTGTTGTCTATGTTCTGTTTTTGTTCATTAAGCACTTTTTTCTAATTACATTTTAATGTAATTAGAATGTCCACCTTTACAATACACAAATACAGTAACGGTAACTCGAACTAAAACAAAGCATACTTCTGATAGCCATTATTTTTCTCTTTGGGACAAATTTAAAGTTTTTCTTTTGTCACAAAAACAGGAATGTACTTATACAAAGGCTCAAAATAGGCCATCTTTTTAAACAAAAAGGCAATGATTCACAAAAGACTATGAATAGAACATGTAACTAATTGATACAAATCTAATAGGATTTGTTAAAATCAGCCACATCCAATACATCTGAAGTGTTCTTGTATAAAATATCACGTGAAGAAAAGACTTTATCAATATCTTAAAAAGTGGGTTTGT
The DNA here is from genome assembly GCF_000001405.40 of Homo sapiens. NCBI lineage: Eukaryota > Metazoa > Chordata > Mammalia > Primates > Hominidae > Homo > Homo sapiens. The sequence goes on along the minus strand of NW_021160018.1, from coordinate 327,182 downwards.
TCATAGTCTGACAAGTTACCATTAAAAGTGTTTCCTGTGACATAAGGAAATGCAATATTATTTTTCTTGAACCCTTTCAGCGCAAGACTTTCCACTCAATAAAATCGCAGAGGATCTGAAACTGAGAAAATATACTTGATTACTAACAGCTTGTGAAACTTAATACTTTTTTTTTTTTTTGCATCATCAGCGGCTTTTACTGAACTTACAACCAACTTGCCGCTCAATATGCAGCTCAGATGTGAGAGACGCGTCTCTGTACAGGAGCCCGTACTGTCTTCAATCCTTTGCATGCAGGTGTTTACCACAGGCAAACAGTTTACTCCACATTTTCTAGTAATGTAATCTTCCTATTAGCAAAAAGCGGTAACCAGTCCCTGTAGACTGAAGGGACTCAAGTCACAGGATGCGGATTTCCTCTTCATGGTTTTTATTTTGATATTTGAACTGCTGATGCAACATATAAGCAGGGTGTTCAGGACCTGCTGTGCCTAAGGGACTGATAAAGGGAAAAGTTCTATTTATTCTTTGTGATTTGATGCACAGATGAAAAACTTAACACACAATAATAGAAGTTGGTCGTTAGTAAATCACACCCTAGTCTTTCAGAGCTTCCGTAAGCAGACGACATTGTCAGTTTTCTAGCTCTTGTTTTAACACTGCAACAACAATGATGCATATGTCCGGAATCAGCTAAAAAGGCCGTCAGATTCTTTTTCTCTTAGATTATCTATTTTTCACTGTTCCCAAGTATATCTGAATAATTACCTTCCGGCATTCTCTGCTATTGCTCGTTGGGATGCTCTCGACTGTCCCCGTGTTTTGTGGGCTGTTGGGAGAGGGCCCTTGGGAAGGATGTACCACTGTTGGGAGGTTGTCGGTCACTGGGATGTCTCCAGGGATGATGTCTTCCCTGGCTGCAGAAGTCCTCCTGGAGCCACGCCCACCATGCCTGGCAGATATCTGTAGGTAGCACCACTGAGCTCAGGATGAATTTGTTGCTGGTCTATTACGGACCAAAGCGCTGATGTGACAAAGAATTCCTTGTTCACACAGTTTCTTAAGCTTCCCGGGATGCGACTTATGATGGCTTGGCGGATCTCAGTGGCAACTGCCTCGCTCATCTCCAGTGACACCTGCTGGCTGTAGCAGGCAGTGAGAGGAGTGCAGATGAGATTCCAGGCATCTTTCAACAGACCCCGAGCAAAACTAAAGGGGTCCGACTCATTCACGTCGAGGGCTGCCCCTCGTATTCTGCCCTCCTTGAGGGTGTGTGCTCAGGCTTTCTCGTCCACCAGGCCACCACGGGCTGCGTTCACAAGGAATGCTCCCTGCCTCATCTGCTTTATGGTAAAGTCATGGATAAGGTGGTAGTTTTGTTCGTTGAGATTGCAATGCAAGAAGACGCAGTCGTTCTGATACAGCAAATCCTGCTGGGTGTAGACCCTATGCACACCCAGGGACCGCTCGATCCCATCCTGCAAAGGCCTTGGCTCGAACTGCAACCTCCTGCTGCGTGCGACCGAAGCCGATGAGGCCCAATATCTCCCCACGAATGCGGGCCTTTACTGAGGCCACCTCGCCAATCTGCTCCATGCTCTGAACTCGCGTGCCTTCCCTCAGTGCCTGGTACAGCGACCTGTTCCCCCAGTACAGATTGAGGATGTGGCCGGTGGTGGAGTCGGCTGTCTCTTCCACGGCTGCAGACGGGATGCTGCAACAGCAATTTCGAGCTCGCCAGCAGCCTTGATGGCCACGTTGTCGTAGCCACTGGCCACCTGCACGATCACTCTCAGGGCCTTGAAATTTTCCAGGTCCTCCCTGGTGAGGGAGAAGGTGTGGTACATCATGGCGCCCACGACTTCGTTTAGAACTTTCTCGTGGATCTCCTGCATGGACTGAGCCTCACAGAAGGCCAGGTGGCCAGGTCCTTCAGGATGGGCATGTCCACAGTGCAGTCCCGTCCATCCAGCAGAGCCACCACGAGGCGGGGTTCAGGGTGACTTTCATGATCTAGGGGCGAATTCCTCACAAATTCTGTCCAATCGCTGTCTCTTGACTTAGCGCTTATCCACAAGGGCCATTCTTTAGGGAACTTTGCAACTCTGAGATCAAAAGGCAAAGCAGTCCTCTAAGAACTTAGGGGAACTCGCAGGAGTCTGCGTGCATGACGCCACTATGAACCCAATATAAATTTGTTCACAAACTCTATAGTTCACACGATGGGTTGTCCGTCTTTTTAAGGGAATACATCTTCTTTGGTTCAAAACCATTTAAGGTGATGAAACCCGTTTGCTTGCAACTCCGCCACAATCGCGCAGCCACAAACGAATCTCACCACGACCCCAGGCCGAAGCCGCCTCCATTCCCAGGGATGGCGGACTCCGGGCGCTCTAGACCTGGGGTCGTGGTGAGATTCTCCCTTGGATGCCCCTGTTCTACAGTAAAGGAAATATCTTTGGAATGTAAAAAGAGAGAAAATAATAGGCATCACCCCAATAGGCAATAATGAACAAATAACAAAGATGAGAGGTGCAAAGGCCAAGGAGGAAACTTTAAAAATGTGATGTGGGAAGTTCGCTTCAATGAAATTGGTTCTGGAAAATCCTAGATTTACTTCTTTTGCTGCCACAGATGGACATTTCCTACCCTATGCTTATTATGCTCCTAAATCTTCTAAGGCTCCTCCTGTCCCTCCACTAACATTCCAGGGCATTCACAGTGACAGCCGAAGTTCTCCTCTTCTTTCTGTTATTCCCTTGAAGGCCTTGTGGTCTGAGTGCTTTTCCATTGTTTTGGGGGATCTGGGGAAATCTGCACATTTTGCGAGACTTCTATATTAAGCTATTTTGTAAAAATCTGTTCCTCATGTCAGAAGTTTGTGAGAGTAAAAGTGCAGGCATTGGGGTTTGGTTCACATATTTCAGAAACACCAAGGACAAATGTTTCTGCTTCATAATTTTCAGTCCTATGATTTCAAATGTGATCCTGCAAAAAAATCGGAAAAACTTTTATCAGAGCCCAAAACACCTCAGCACATATGATATAGTGAAGCTTCTATTTCACTTTATTCTTTTTTTCATCTCTGGTAATGTAGGTCAAAAAGTTTTCTTTTCCTTGGTAGAAATTAACTTAAAAACGTGAACTCTCTATGCCAAGCACCTCACCTGTGGAATAGTTTATTGTATCTACTCACCTCAAAGAATTTTTAAAGACCTTAATGCCATAGAAAAACTTAGAAACCTGCCAAGAATAGAATAAATTCTTAATTGTTACATTATTTCTTATTGAGTTATTTTATTATTTAATCTTATATAAAGCTTAGTGGGACTGTGATCTGCACGTTTTCACTTTTTGATTTTTATGTATCCCAAATTAGCCTATAATTTTAGCTTCAGGGATTTCAGAATAGCATACTTGAATTTATGTGTTATATAAAAAGTGAATTACTTAGTATGCACCTCACATTAATAAAATTTCAGTTTGTGTGTCTAAGTTTACTGCATAGAAAAACTTATCATTAGTGTTTCTATTAACTTTCCTCAACATTATCTGAATGATAGTATAATTTATTTCTCATTGCTTATTATGTAGTAGTGTTTCATTGCATATTTTTCAATATTCATGTTGTTCCCATATTTAAAAATATAAAGCTTTTCTTTACTTAAAAAAAAAACAAATTATAGGCCAGTGCGGTGGCTCACGCTTGTAATCCCAGTACTTTAAGAGGCTGAGGTGGGTGGATCACAATGTCAGGGGTTCAAGACCAGCCTGGCCAACATGGTGAAACCCCGTCTCCACAAAAACCACAGAAAGAATGAGCAGGGCATGGGGGCGGGTGTCTATAATCCCAGCTACTCGGGAGGCTGGGGCAGAGAATTGCTTCAGCCTGGTAGGTGGAGGATGCAGTGAGCCGAGGTCTCGCCACTACACTCCAGCCTGGGTAACAGAGCGAGACTCTGTTCTCTAATATCATTGAAATCTTCATTAAAATTTTCTTCTAAATGTTCTTTATAGAAGATTATAATGCATTTGTTGTGAAATTTTGTTACTCTAACCATATGCTAATAATTCAAAATCTGTTCTTTATGGGTGTCCAGTTATGGTTGAATATTTCAGTTATCTAGAAAGAGTCTTCTTCAGTTGCATGATTTGTTTATTCAGTATTTCACAGGTTAATGTTTATCCAATTTTGTTTTGTAATATTTTATATTCCTGTATTTTCCTGTTAGGATAGGCTGTCTTACATCATTTAATTGTGTTTTTAGTTTCTGCTTATATGTTATAATTTTTTATGACTATATTTAACTGTGTACACTTTAAAAGAGTGTAGAAAAAAAGTCAAATATGAATCAACCATATGTGTATTGCAAACATAATTCTCTGTTCGTTTGACTGTATAAACATTACTCATGCTTTATTTATGACTTCTGTATTTATTTAATTAGTTGGTGGTCAATTATTTTTTTAATCCTCTCTGGGTGAGTAGTTGTGGAAATTGCCCTAATTTCCACATCTATGTATTAATGAATCTATATTACGTTTGCGTGAGGAAAACACCTCTGTGATGCGAGGGTAATTTTTTTTTTTTTTTTTTTTTGACCACAGAAGTTTTTATTGCCCTCCTGCTCCGCAAAGGGACCTTGCTTCTGCTGGTTTAGCACCTCAAGACGTCTGTGATGTTGGTCTCAGACACCACTTTGCCGTCCACTATCCTGTGGGTGTTGGTCTTTTGGATGCTTTACAGGTATTTGCTGCTGTCCAGAATACCACCAAGATTGAAGTCCTCCCCATCTTCTAACAGGCGGCAGTAGGTGGCAATCTCTGTGAAATGGGACACAGAGATCCAGGAGCCCCAGACCCCACGCCTGCATAGAAGCTCGCCGCGCTGCTGACCTGCTGAGCACTTTAGCTGGGCGACTGGACAGATCCCAGGGACAGGTAGTAGTTGATGGAGAAGGTGCGGAGCAAGTGGTGAAGCTCGCTGTGCACGGGGAGGAAAGCGAGAGGACAGGACTCAGGTTTTGCCGAGGTCCTGAAGATAATTATTGAAATGCATTAAAACGGTATCTCACTTAGATATTATTATTGTTTACATTGTTATAAGAAACATATAAAATTGACAATTATTTACAATTTTACAATAATTTACAATGACAATAATTATATAGTTTAGACTTTTCAGCACATTGACATTATTCGACGTATCTCTAGAACATTTTTATCTTACAAAACTAAAACTCAATACACCTGAAACAACTGCCTGTCTTCTCCTTTGTTCAGCCCTTTACAAATGCTATCTTATTCTCTGTTTCTAAGGATGTTACTACTTTAGATATTTTATACATGTGGATACACTCAGTATCTGTCTTGTAGCTGGCTTTTTTTATTTAGCATAATGTCATCAAGATTTTATTTTTATTATAGATAAAAGGTTTTCTGCTTTTCAAAAGCTGGGTAATATTCTATTGTTTTTATATTCCAAATTGTACCCATTCATTTGTTTGTTGAGGGAAGTATGGATTGCTTTAACCTATTGATTTTTGTAAGTAAAGCTACAATAAATATGTGAGCGTTTACATCTTTTTTGCACTCGGTTTTATTAGTCTATTTGTCTGTCTTTATGCCAGTAACAAACTACTTAGATTACTGTAGATTTGTAACAGGTTTTGAAAACAGGAATTGTAATGTTTCCAAAATTTTTCTCTTTTTGAAAACTGTAGAGTTCTTTGTGGTCTCCTGAAATTCCATATACTTTTGGGAGTCACATTTTCTGTATCTGTCAAAAATAAAATTAAGAATTTTATAGGGATTGTATTAAATCTGTAGGTCACTTTTGGCATTATAGACATGTTCAAAATATTAAGTTTTCTAACTCTTGAACAAAAGCATGTTCAAGAGTAAATTGCTTAATTTTTACATATTTGTGAATTGTATGAATTTTCTTATGTTATCGATTGCTAGTTTTAATCCTTTTTGGTCAGAAATTATAGTATGTAACATTCAATTTTTTTATTATACTTTAAGTTCTAGGGTACATGTGCAGAACGTGCAGGTTTGTTACACAGGTATACATGTGCCATGTTGGTTTGCTGCTCCCATCAACTCATCATTTACATTAGGTATTTCTCCTAACGCTATTCCTTTCATAGTCCCTCACCCCCAAACAGGTCCCAATGTGAGATGTTCCCCGCCCTGTGTCCATGTGTTCTCATTGTTCAACTCCAACCTATAAGTGAGAACATGCGGTGTTTGGTTTTCTGTCCTTGTGATAGTTTGCTGAGAATGATGGTTTCCATCTTCATCCATGTCCCTGTAAAGGACATGAACCCATACTTTTTATGGCTGCATAGTATTCCATGCTGTATATGCTCCACAATTTCTTAATCCAATCTATCATTGATGGACAATTGGGTTGGTTCCAAGACTTTGCTATTGTGAATAATGCCGCAATAAACATATGCGTGTGTGTGTCTTTATAGTAGCATGATTTATAACTCTTTGGGTATATACCCAGTAATGGAATTGTTGGGTCAAATGGTATTTCTCATTGTGGATCCCTGAGGAATCACCACACTGTCTTCCACAATGGTTGAACTAATTTACACTCCTACCCACGGTGTAAAAGTGTTTCTATTTTTCCACATCCTGTCCAGCATCTGTTGTTTCCTGAAATTTTAAAGATCGCCATTCTAACTGGCGTGAGATGATATCTCATTGTGGATTTGATTCGCATTTCTCTGATGACCAATGATGAGCAATTTTTCATATGTCTGTTGGCTGCATAAATGTCTTCCTTTGAAAAGTGTCTGTTATATCCTTTGCCCACTTTTTGATGGGGTTGTTTTTTTTTCTTGTAAATTTGTTTTAGCTATTTGTAGATTCTTGATATTAGCCCTTTGTCAGATGGGTAGATTGCAAAAATTCTCTCCCATTCTGTAGGTTGCCTGTTCAATCTGATAATAGTTTTGTTTGCACCCTGGTTTCGAACCAGGTACGCTACGGTCCCGGGGCCGTGAGCAAGGGCTGATGGGAAGGCACTTTCGTGCATGGGGGACACAGGCCCCGCTTCTCGGCTGTGAGGTTTTTTTTTTTTTCTTTCTTTCTTTTTTTTTTTCCCTGCCACATGTGACTCACCTCCCCTCCCTCAAACCTAACCTTCCCCTCAGGGGCCTTCTGCCCGCTTTGGGGTACCCATAGCGGGACCGAGACGCTCCCTGGGTTCGAACCAGGGTCCGGGGCCATGTGCAGGGGCTGATGGGAAGGCACCTTCGTCAGTGGGAGACCCAGGAACGCTTCTCGGCGGCGAGGTTGTTTTTTTTTTTTTTTTTTTCCTGACACAGGTGCTTCACCTCCCCTCCCTCAAATCTTACCTTCACCTCAGGGGCCTTCTGCCCGCTTTGGGGTACCCCTAGCGGGCCCGAGAAGCTCCATGGGTTCGAATCAGGGGCGCAAGGTTCCCTGGGACCCAGAGCAGGGGTTGAAGGGAAGGCAGTTTCGTGCATGGGGGACCCAGGCCCCGCTTCTCGGCGGCGCGATTTTTTTTTTCCTGCCACAGGTGCCTCACATCCCCTCCCTCAAACCTAACCTTCCCCTCAGGGGCCTTCTGCCCACTTTGAGATACCCCTAGCTGGCCCGAGGCCCTCCCTGGGTTGGAATCAGGAACGCCAGGGTCCCCGGGTCCCAGCGCAGGGATTGAAGGGAAGGAACTTTCGTGCGTGCAGGACCCAGGAACGCTTCCTGGTGGCGAGTTTTGTTTTGTTTTTTTCCTGCCACAGGTGCTGCACTTTCCCTCCCTCAAACCCCACCTTCCCCTCAGGGGCCTTCTGCCCGCACTGGGGAAACCATAGCAGGCCGAGATTCTCCCTGGGTTCGAAACAGGGACGCCAGGGTCCCGGGCCATGCGCTGGGGCTGATGGGAAGGCACTTTCTTCCGAGAAGGACCCAGGAACGCTACTCGGAGGCGCGCTGTTTTTTCCTTTTTTTTCTGCTACAGCTGCGTCACCACCCCTCCCTCACACCTTAACTTCCCCTCAGGGGCCTTCTGCCCGCTTTGTGGTACCCCTAGCGGGCCCGAGAGGGCCTGAGTTGGAACCGGCGATCCATGGTAACCGGAGCCCAACCCAGGGACTGATGGGAAGGCACTTTTGTCCGTGGGGACCCAGGCCCCGGTTCTCCGGGGCGCTTTTTTATTTCCTGCCACGGGTGCCTCACCTCCCCTCCCTCAAAGCTTACCTTCCCCTCAGTGGCTTTTGTCCGCTTTGGTGTACCCCTAGCCGGCCCGAGACGCTGCGTGGGTTCTAAGCAGGGACGCCAGGGTCCCGCGGTCCAGCACAGGGGCTGATGGGAAGGAACTTTCGTCCGTGGGGGACCCAGGAACGCTTCTCGGTGGCGCGTTTTTTTTTTTTTTTTTTGTGCCACAGGTGACTCACCTCCTCTCCCTCACACCTTACCTTCCCCGCAGGGGCCTTCTGCCCACTTTGAGGTATCCCTAGTGGGCCCGAGACGCTCCTTGTGCTCAACCAGTGACGCCAGGGTCCCCGGGACCCAGAGCAGAGGCTGATGGGAAGGCACATTCGTCCGTGGGGACCCAGTCTCGGCTTCTCGACGGATCGGTTTGTTTTTTTTTTCCTGCCACAGGTGCCTCCCCTCCCTCAAACCTAACCTTCCCTCAAGGGCCTTCTGCTAGCTTTGGAGTACCCCTAGCGGGCCCGAGACGCACCCTGGGTTCGAACCAGGGACGCCAGGTTCCCGGGGCCATGCGCGGGGGCTGATGGGAAGGCACTTTCTTATGTGATGGACACAGGCCCGCTTCTTGACGGCGCTGTGTTTTTTGTTTTTTGTTTTTTTCCTGCCACAATTGCCTCCCCTCCCCTCCCTCAAACCTAGTCTTCCCCCTCAGGGGCCTTCTGCTCGCTTTGGGGTACCCCTATCGGGCCCGAGACGCACCCTGGGTTCAAACCAGAGATGTCAGGGTCCCGGGGCCATGCGCTGGGGCTGATGGGAAGGCACTTTCGTCCTTGGGGGACCCAGTCTCCGCTTCTTGGCGGCGCGGTTTTTTTTTTTTTCCTGCCACAGGTGCCTCATCTCCCCTCCCTCAAACCTTAACTTCCCCTCAAGGACCTTCTGCCAGCTTTGGGGTACCCCTAGCGGGCCCGGGACGCACCCTTGGTTCGAACCGGGGAAGCCAGGGTCACCGGGGCCCAGCGCAGGGACTGATGGGAAGGCATTTTCTTCCGTGGGGGACCCAGGAATGCGTCTCGACGCTGAGTTTTTTTCTTTTTTTTTTTTTTCATCCACAGGTGCCTCACCTCCCTTTCCTCAAACCTAACCTTCCCCTCAGGGGCCTTCTGCCCGCTTTGGGGTACCCCTAGCGGGCCTGAGTCGCTCCCTGGGTTCGAACCAGGGACGCCAGAGTATCCAAGGCCCAGTGCAGGGACTGATGGGAAGGCACTTTCGTCCGTGGGGGAACCAGGAACGCTTCTTGGCGGCGAGTTTTTTTTTGTTTTGTTTTGCGTTTTTTTTTTTTTCTGCCACAGGTGCCTCACCTGCACTCCCTCAAAACTTACCTTCCCCTGAGGAGCCTTCTGCCCGCTTTGGATATGCCTAGCGGGCCCTTTACAAAAAGCTCTTTAGTTTAAGTAGATCCCGTTTGTCAATTTTGGCTTTGTTGCCATTGCTTTTGGTGTTTTAGTCATGAAGGCTTTGTCCAAGCCTATGGTATTGCCTAGGTTTTCTTGTAAGTTTTTATGATTTTAGGTCTTACATTTAAGTCTTTAATCCATTTTCACTTAATTTTTGTATACAGTGTAAGGAAGGGATCCAGTTTCAGTTTTCTGCATATGGCCAGCCAGTTTTCCCAGCACCATTTATTAAATAAGGAATCCTTTCCCCATTGCTTGTTTTTGTCAGTTTTTTTCAAAGATCGGATGGTTGTAGATGTTTGGTGTTATTTCTGAGGCCTCTGTTCTGTTCCATTGGTCTATGTATCTGCTTTGGTACCAGTATCATGCTGCTTTCCTTGCTGTAGCCTTGTATTATAGATTGAAGTCAGGTAGCGCGATTCCTCCAACTTTGTTCTTTTTGCTTAGGATTGTCTTGACTATGCGGGCTCTTTTTTGGTTCCATATGAACTTCAAGGTAGTTTTTTCCAATTCTGTGAAGAAAGTCAATGGTAGCTTGGTGGGGATGACATTGAATCCATAAATTACCTTGGGCAGCATGGCCATTTTCACAATATTGATTCTTCCTTTCCATGAGCACGGAATGTTCTTCCATTTGTTTGTGTCCTCTTTTATTTCGTTGAGCAGTGGTTTGTAGTTCTCCTTAAAGAGGTCCTTCACATCCCTTGTAAGTTGGATTCCTAGGTATTTTATTCTCTTTGAAGCAATTGTGAATGGGAGTTCACTCAGGATTTGACTCTCTGTATGTTATTGTAGGAATGTTTGTGATTTTTGCACATTGATTTTGTATCCTGAGACTTTGCTGAAGTTGCTTATCAGCTTAGGAGATTTTTGGCTGAGACGACGGAGTTTTCTAAATATACAATCATGTCATCTGCAAACAGGGACAATTTGACTTCCTCTTTTCCTAGTTGAATATGCTTTATTTCTTTCTCTTGCCTGATTGCCCTGGCCATAACTTCCAACACTATGTGGAATAGGAGTGATGAGAGAGGACATTCTTGTCTTGTACCGGTTTTCAAAGGGAGTGCTTCCAGTTTTTGCCCATTCTGCATGATATTGGTTGTGAGTTTGTCATAAATAGTTCCTATTATTTTGAGATACATTCTATCAATATCTAGTTTATTGAGCATTTTTTAGCATGAAAGCTGTTGAATTTTTTCGAAGGCCTTTTCTGCATCTATTGAGATAATCATGTGGTTTTCGTCATTTGTTCTGTTTATGTGATGGATTATGTTTACTGATATGCATATGTTGAACCTGCATCCCAGGGATTAAGCACACTTGATCTTGGTGGTTAAGCTTTTTGAAGTGCTGCCTGATTCGGTTTGCCAGTATTTTATTGAGAATGTTTGCATCGATGTTCATGAGGAATATTGGCTTAAAATTTTCTCTTTTTGTTGTGTCTTTGCCAGACTTTGGTATCAGGATGATGCTGGTCTCATAAAATGAGTTAGAGAGGATTCCCTCTTTTTCCATTGATTGGAATAGTTTCAGAAGGGTGGTACCAGCTCCCCTTTGTACCTCTGGTAGAATGTAGCTGTGAATCCGTCTGGTCCTCGACTTGTTTTGGTTGGTAGGCTATTAATTATTGCCTCAATTTCAGAACCTGTTATTGGTCTATTCAGAGATTCAACTTCTTCCTTGTTTAGTCTTGTGGGGGATGTATATGTCCAGGAATTTACCCATCTGTCCTAGATTTTCTAGTTTATTTGCGTAGAGGTGTTTATAACATTCTCTGATGGTAGTTTGTATTTCTATGGGATCAGGGGTGATAGCCCCTTTATCATTTTTTATTGCTTCTCTTTGATTCTTCTCTCTTTTCTTTATTAGTCTTGCTAGCAGTCTATTTTGTTGATCTTTTCAAAAAAATAACTCCTATATTCATTGATTTTTGAATTTTTTGTAACATTCAATTTTTCAAAAATTCTGTTCAGAATTGTTTTTTGGCTTCATAGTTATTTTTAGGAGAATGTTTCATGAGCTTTTGAGAAGATTGTGAGTTTTGTTTTTGTGTAGAGTGTTCTGTATGCATCTGTTATATCTAATTGCTTTACAGTATTTTCATGTCGTCTGTTTACTTTTTAATATTCTATCTGGCTTTTTTATTAATTACAGAACTGGTGTATTAAAATATTATACTTTTAATATATTGCCGTTTTTGCTTATGTTCTGTCAAGATATTATTGATATATTTAAAAATACTCATGTAAGGTGCATACATATTTGTGTGTATACATAATTAGATATATACACACAATTATATAAATGTGTATAATTGTCATAGGTTTCCAGTGAATAAACCCTTTTATTATTTTGTCCTTTGTTTTTCTGACAATTTGATTTCATAATATATTTTATAAACTAAGACAGTTATTTAAAAAGCATTTTGCATACTATAATTGTGACATTGTCCTCATTTGGTTATGATTTGCATAATTTTTTGGATGCACCTTGCCACATTTAGTCTTTTTTTGTTACTATAGTGTAAGATGGCTCATATCTGTCATCCTAGCATTTTAGGAGATTGAGGTGGGAGGATCACGTGAAACCAGGAGTTTGAGACCAGCCTGGGAAACAAAGCAATACCAAGTCTCTAAAATAAATAAATAAATAAATTGAGTCCCTTTAGACAGATGTAGTTAGATTTTCTTTCTTTTTTTTTTTTAATTCCTATACTCAATTTATGACTTTTGGTTGAGAAGTTTAGTTTGTGAGTAGTTACATAATTTTCTGCATTTGAAGGAATTACTTTTGACACTTTGTGGAGTAAAATTTAAATATTAAATTTGAACTCAATTGAATCTGGACTCAAACAATGGTCACCAAGTCCTGGAACAGGTTGTGTGAGCCCCTTGAGGCTTTCATCCAGCGCTGTTTCGGATAAATCTCTATTTCAATTTATTCCTATATGTTAGTTACTGAAAAACAACAGACAATCACAAAAAACAAGTTGACCTTTTTCTTTTCCTTGAGCCCAGAAATGAAGGGCCCTCCTGACTGGACGTCATGCCAGATAACTCATTACAAAAAGAGCTAGGGTTCCAGACTGTGCCAAAACTTCATGAGATCTCTTCTCATCTGTTCACGGACAAGTGGCCAACTCTGGAGCCCAGTCTGTTGCTTCGCAGTCTGGTGGTGAATCCTCCATAGTCTGATGAGTGTAAATATATATATCTCTTTTCCCTTCTCTCCGTCCCATTGCAACTTGCTTATTATATCATTTGCTTATTATATCTGCATTGCCATTTATGTGGGATACAGTTTGTTTACCCTTAAAGGTATTGTGTGTGTGTGTGTGTGTGTGTGTGTGCGTTTCCTTCTCTCCTTGAGCATTTCCTGTGCAGAACATTTTTGGCTTCACGAACAGGATCCGAAAGCAAAAGCATGCCATTTTTTGGTGCAGGGACCAGACTGGGAGCTCAGGGACTTTCCATATCTTCAGATGGGAACTCCCCTAGTTCTTCCCCTTGGCCATTCAGTGGTCCAAGGGAGCTGGCGTTTGTGAAAATAGGCAATCTAAGTTAGTGCATTTTGAATCATTGGCTGTGTGTGAGGAGGTGCAGGGAATCCCAGTTGGTAAATGGGATGCTGAGGGAATTTCCCGGCATGGATGGTGCTTGCTTACTGCTTATAAGTTAATGTGTCAAGATAGGAATCAGCTGCTACAACAGAAATGTAAGCCAGAAAAGAAAATGCTAATCAGACTTCCAGGCTGGCCCTGGCCCATGGCCAGGCCTATGTCTTGACTGATCAGCCTCAAAGTTATCAGCCTATTGCTGAAAAAAGCAGCTTCCTGAGTGGCCCAGTCAGGGTAAAACTGAAGAACTAGTCAGCTGGGGCTTGGATCCGGTAAAAACCCAAATCCTATCTCAAGGATGGGAAGTTAACCCTAGTAAAATTCAAGGACCTGCACAAACTGTAAAGTTCCTTGGCATCCTATGGAATGCAGGGAAACAGTCCATTTTACCAAAGGCTAAGGCTAAAATACTAGAATTTGCAGCCCTACCACTGAAAAGGAGGTCCAAAATTGTATTGGTTTGTTTGGATTCTGGAAACATCATATTCCCCACTTGGGTAACATTTTACAACCTCTGCATGCGGTCACTAGAAAACGCTATGACTTTCACTGAAGACAGAAAGTGAGCGTGGCTTTTCAACCAGCCAAACAAGCAGAGCAACAGTATGGCCCTTACAGGATGGGCCAGTAGAACTGCAAGTAACTGTCCTAGATCAACACGCTCATTGGGGCCTTAGGTAGAAACAAGATGGGAAGAGATACCTTTGGGGTTTTAGACCCAGAAGCTGTCAGAGGCTAGCAAAGCTTATACTCTTTGAGAAGCAGCTGTTGACCTGCTACTGGGCTTTACAGGAAACAGAACACCTTTGTCTTAATCATGATGTTTTTATGAGGCCCCAAATTCCTAATATGACTTGGGTCATGAGCTCCCTCAAACCTCATTGGATAGGGTACACTCAAGAAAGTAAATGGAAATGGCACATACAAGACCAGGCTAAGCCGGAACCAAAACAGGTATCATTTTTAAATGAGGATGTGCAAAACTTGCCAGCTCAGCAAACCACTGAGCAAGTCCTGCAGATAGGGAAGGAAACCTCCCCTGCCCAATGGGGCAAATCCTTTAAAGAACCAAGCCCAGACGATCAGAGACATGCTTGGTTTGCTGATGATTCCACCAAATATATTGATGGGACCCGATGCTGGGAGGCCGTGTCTTATAATCCTGTTAAAAACATAAGCATTTCTGAGGAAGGGAGGGGTGTTAGCAGCCAGCTGGCTGAACTAGAATCTGTTCTCTGAACTATTCAGGAGGAGGCCAGAGGGATTTGTTACTTGTATACCTACTCTTGCTTAGCAGAAAATGGTCTTACTACCTAGTTGCCCGAATGACAATGAAACAAATGGTGAATTACGAATAAAGAGGTTTGGAGAAAACAATACTAGGAAGATATCTGAATCCTGGTGCACACTACCATTATTGCTGTTTTCCAGATTGATGCTCATGCATCTCTGCTTTCTCTTGACAGACTATTCCATCAGCAGGTAGATCAACAGGTGTGAGATTCGGAACCTTAACATTGGGCTGTGTTCATGTGAAAAGATGACAATTTTTGCTCTTGGCTCAGTGTACATATGAGTATCACAATCTCACCTTTGTTCTGGGCCCTAGCAGGACACTCTCTTCACCATATGAAGCCTTTATAGAGTATGCATGAGTGTAACAATTCTCTCTGAAACCTTAAGCAGGCACGGACCCCTCCTTGTACCTTTAGCTTTAAGCCCTGGTATGACAGTCAACATCTTTCTACTTGGATGGGTCCAAATAAGAGTTCTTAACTGCCTATGAGCTGCGTTTAAAAATGAGTCACCATCCCACCTGTGGCTGGATGTTCACATATGAAAGTCAGAATCCCAGTTGTGGACTATGTCTGCATGTGTAATTCAGGACCTCAAGAGTGGGCTCTCTCCACATGTGATAGAGACCATCCTGAATATTGGTGTGGTGTGCATCTGAGAAGTATAATCTCACCAGTGTGGCGAGCCCTGTGGTGACAATTTCTCTACCATAGTTTACACAATATGCAAGACAGTGGTACTCCTCCGTGTGACGTATCACTGGGTCTTGCACACAGGTAATGTGAGTCTCCTCTCCTGCCTTGGAATGCTCACAGGAGGCATTGGGACATACCACTGAACCTGATATTCAGGTTATGTGCCTGTCTTTCCTGTGCTCTGTCCATGGGCGTTTGTGACATATTTCTGGGTCCAAAACACAGGCGACATAGCTCTCCTGTCTGGATCCTGCCTAGAGAGGGCATGGTGGCGTATCCCTGCACCAGCCACCAGATGATGTAACTCTATCTTCTGTCTAGTCCCTGCTTATAGGGTGAATTGTGACTTATCGCTAGGCGCAGCATTTAGCTAATATGACTCTTCCCTTTTTTCAGGTTCTGCCCACGGGGAAGATTGTGACATATCGATGGGTAAAACACCAAATGATTTTACTCTTTTGTCTTTGCTCTGTCCTTAGAAGGCATTGGGACATATTGCTGAACAAGCACCAAGGTAATGTAAGGGTCCTACCTGAACCCTGCCCACAGGGAGCATAGTGACATATCTCTGAGCCCATGAACTATTTGATGTGGCTCTATTCTCTTACCTGGACTTTGCCCATGAGAAAGACTGTGACGTATTTCTTGGTCCAGTGCTTAGGTAATGTGATTCTCCTCTCCAGCCTGAGACATGCCCACAGAAGTAAGAGTGACATCTCTGGGCCTAGCCCACAGGTGATGTGACTCTTATCCCTTCTTTCTGCCCAGGGGAGTCATTGTGATGTATCTCTGAGACCATTATTAGAATGATGTGACTCTCCTGTTCTTACTGCGACCTGTCCACAGTGGGGATGATGATGTATCACTTAGGCCAGCACATATGTGGTGAGATTCTTCTCATGCCTGTGCCCTGCCCCCTGGGCTAATTGTGACATATAACTGGGCCCCTCCCCTAGGTTATGCAACATATCCCTGTGATAACACTCTTTGTACCATTTAAGGGCTTTATATAATATAAGAGAGAGTGGTATTCCTCTAAGACCCTCATACAAAGAGAAGATTTAGGACCTACCGATTTTCCAAAGCCTCACTAGGAAAAACAGCATTTCTCTTAGTGGCAGGTTTGAGGTATGAGAGTCATTATTACACCTGTGAGCTGGCCAAGATATATGTTTCAATCTCTCCTGTGGGTAGGGAGTGAGCAGGAGAGTCGCATCACCTGGATGCTTGGCCAGAGATCTGTCAATATCTCCCCTGATGGCAGGGACCAGGTAGGAGAGTCACATACCTAAGGCTGGGCCAGGGATATGTAACAATCTTTTATGAGGTCGGAGGCTAGGAAGGGAGTCCCATCACTTGTGTGCTCACCCAGGATATGTTACAATCCCCTCCTGAAATCAGAGTACAAGCAGCAGAGTCAAATCACCTGAATATTGAGCTCAGTGATATGTCACCACACTCCCTGTGGGTAAAGCCATGGCAGGAGAGACACATCACCTGATTACTGATTACTAGGCCCAGTGATATGTCAGAATCTTTCCTGTGGGCAAGGTGCAGGCAGAAAGGAGAGTCACATCATCTGGTGATGGAGGCAGAAATATGCTACAAGGCAGAAATATGCTCTGCCTCCCTGTGGGCAGAGTTCAGGCAGGAGCCCCCAATCTCCTAGGTGTTAAGTTCAGTGATATGTTACAATGCTCCCTGTGGGCAGCACAAGTCGAGAGAATAGAGCCACATCACCTACGTTCTAGGTCCAATGATATGTCCCAATTTTATTTGTGAGATGGGCTTAAACAGGAGAGTCTACTCACTCAGGTGCTGGACAAATGTGTATGTTTGTCACAATGACACCTGCAGGAAGTTCTAGACATGGGATGAATCCCGCACATATTCTGGTTTTAGGCATGAGAGTGAACACCTTCTGTAAGTTCGATCTAAGTACACAAGTCACTATCTCAATAGTGGACTAAATTTGTGCATGGCAGCCCCATTTTCTCTTGCAGACTTTCTCCCCTAATTGAAATCACGGCTTCACAGGTGTGCCGACTCATGATATGAGAGTCATCAACATATCTGTGACTCTCACATATGAGAGTCAGTTTTTCAACTTTTTTTATTGTACTTTAAGTTTTAGGGTACATGTGCATAACGTGCAGGTTTGTTACATATGTATACATGTGCCATGTTGCTGTGCTGCTCCTATTATCTCCTCATTTACATTAGGTATATCTCCTAATGTTATCCCTTCCCCCTCCCCCATCCCACAACAGGCCCCGGTGTGTGATGTTCTCCTTCCCGTGTCCAAGTGTTCTCATTGTTCAGTTCCCACCTAGGAGTGAGAACATGCCATGTTTGGTTTTTTGTTCTTGCGATAGTTTGCTGAGAATGATGATTTCCAGCTTCATCCATGTCCTTACAAAGGACATGAACTCATCATTTTTTATGGTTGCATAGTATTCCATGGTGTATATGTGCCACATTTTCTTAATCCAATCTATGATTATTGGACATTTGGGTTGGTTCCAAGTCTTTGCTATTGTGAATAATGCCACAATGAACACACGTGTGCATGTGTCTTTATAGCAGCACAGCATGGTACTGGTACCAAATCAGAGTACTTGGTACTGGTACCAAATGGAGCAGAACAGAGCCCTCAGAAATAGTGCCACACATCTGCAACTATCTGATCTTTGACAAACCTGACTAAAACAAGAAATGGGGAAAGGATTCCCTATTTAATAAATGGTGCTGGGAAAACTGGCTAGCCATATGTAGAAAGCTGAAAATGGATCCCTTCCTTACACGTTACACAAAAATTAATTCAAGATGGATTAAAGACTTAAATGTTAGACCTAAAACCATAAAAACCCTAGAAGAAAACCTAGGCAATACCATTCAGGACATAGGCATGGGCAAGGACTTCATGTCTAAAACACCAAAAGCAATGGCGACAAAAGCCACAATTGACAAATGGTATCTAATTAAACTAAAGAGCTTCTGCACAGAAAAAGAAACTACCATCAGAGTGAACAGGCAACCTACAGAATGGTAGAAATTTTTTTCAATCTACTCATCTGACAAAGGGCTAATACCCAGAATCTACAAAGAACTCAAACAAGTTTATAAGAAAAAAGCAAACAAACCCATCAACAAGTGGGCGAGGATATGAACAGACAGTTCTCAAAAGAAGATATGTATACAGCCAAAAGACACATAAAAAAGGCTCAGTTTTTCAACTTTTGAAACTGCCTTTGGGTATGGGATTCAGAGCCTCAAAAGTGAACTATGATCATGTGAAAGAATGACAATCTTTAATGTTGGCTGGGTGTGCATCCCAATGTCATTATATTACTGTGTGCTGAGCCCTATTAGGAGTTTCTGTGTTGCACCTGAGGGCTTTATATGGTATGCATGACAGTCTCAATTCTTTCAGAGATTTTCATGCTGGTATGGACCCAGGATCAAACCTGTGGCCCTAAGCCTATATATGAGTCAACATCTTTACAATTGGCGGGGTCCAGATAAGAGAATCATCACCTTTCTATGCGGTGGGTTTATAACGAAGTTCCCATTCCAACTGTGGCCAGATCTTTACATATGAGATTCGCAATTCCAACTATAGACTGCATTCATGTGTGAAATTCAGGACCCCACAAGTGGGTTCTGTTTATATGTGAGGGTGAAAATCATAATGGCCAGGAGGGTGCAGGGTGCGCATAGGAGTAACAAATTTCACCTGTGTGCTGGGCCCTGTGATAAGACTCTCTACCACCCGAGGGCTTTCTGTAATATGTGAGAGAGTGGATGATCTTAACGAGGAGACCCAGGGATTTTTTTTTTTCATTTCCCTAAGTGTCGGTAGGAGAAGCAGGATCTCTCCTATTGGCTGGTGTGACATATGAAAGTCATCATTGCACCTGTGTGTTGTGTTCCAAGATATAAGTCACAATTACACCTTCATATAGGAAGAGAGCAGGAGAGTAAAATCAGTTGGACGCTGGGCCAGGGATATGTCGCTTCCCTGAGAACAGGGACCAGGGAACAGAGACACATTACCTGAATGCTCAGGCATGGGTATGTAGCAATCCACTCCTTAAATTAGGAACCAGGCAGCAGAGTCACATCACCTGGGTGCTGGATCTAGCAATATGTTACAATCCTCTCTGTGGTCAGGATGCAGGTAGGAGAGTCACATCTCCTTGGTGATGAATGCAGAAAAACGTCACAAGTTTCTCTGTGCATAAGGTAGAGGAATAAGCCTTTTATCCCCTAAGTGTTGGGCCCAGGGATATGTCACAATACCCAAAATATGCAAACCCAGGCAAAAGAGAACAGTCACATCACCTTGGTGGTAGGGTCACTGATATGTCACAATCCCCTCTTTTGGAAGGGCCCAGATAAGAGTGGAGAGTCACATAGCCTAGGCAATGAATAGAAAGGTATGTCATAATACCCCTGTTGGCAAGACCTATGCAGAAGAGTCACATCACCTATGTGTTCAACCCAGATATATGTTACTGTACACCATGTATGCAGGGCCCAGGCAAGAGAAAAGGCCACATCACCTCGGTTCTGGGCCCAGCAATATATCACAATACCCCCTAAGAGGAGGTAACAGACAGGAGAGTCACATCACCTAGGTCTGAGGAGCAGAGCTATATGGTAATGCCCTGTGTGTGTGCACCCCAAAATAGAGGAGAGTTACATCACCTGAAGACTGTACCCAGCTATGTCACAATGACCCCTGTGGGCAGCACCCAGGCATGAGAAGAGAGCACCATCATGTAGGTGCTGTGCCAGGCTGTATTTCACAATCTCCACTATGGATAGGTTTCAGGGAGAAGAGGACCGTCACATCATCTAGTTGATGAGTCTGGAGATATGTCAAAATGAACCCTCTGAAGAGACCAGGATGCAGAATCACATGATCTGTGTGCTGGGTCTAGGAATAACCCATTCTCCCTTCTGTAAACATGGCCACGCAGAAGATGAGGGTCACATATTTAAGGTGATGAACGCGGAAATATTTCACAAGTCTCCCTGTAGGCAAGACCCAGACAGGAGATTCCCTTCCCTCAGTTGTTGGGACCAGAAATACATCACAATGTGGGGCTCAAGCAGAAAAACTAAAGAAACATCACCTATTTTCTGAGCTCAGAATTAGTCACAATCTCTCCTATAGGCAAAGCCTTTGTTAAAAAAGAAGAGTTTTATCAAATAGTTGATGGGCTCAGAGATATGTCCCAATGCCATATGTTACAAATTGCTGTAGGCAGGCTTCAGGCAGGAGATGGGCCTAATAATGTGTCACAGTGCTTTCTGCTTGCAGGGCAAAGTCAACAGAGTAATGTCACCTCGAAGTTGGACCCACCAATGTATCACAATCTCCTTCCAAACAAATCCTATAAAACAAAAGAAGAGTAACATGAGGTAGGTGCTGGGCACAGTGATATGTCACAATCCTTTCTTTAAGCAGGGACTAGGCAGGAGAAGAAAATCACACCACATGGGTGATGGGCTCATAGATATTTCACAATGTCCCCTTAGGCAAAGCTCAGGAAGGAGAGGTAGATCATCTAGGTTTTGTATGCAACAGTATGTCACAATGGCCATTGTGGCCTGGGCACCGGCAGAAGAGTCACATAACATGGATGTGAGACCCAGCAATACATCACAACGCCCCGGTGAGTAGCACTAATGCAAGACAGAAAACTTACATTACCTAGGTGCAAGGCCAAGTGATATGTCCCAATGTCCCCTGTGGGCAGCACCAAGGCAGGAGGTAAGAGTCACATAACCTAGGTGCTGGCTTCAGTGATATATCAGAATCCCATCTGTGAGCTGGGCACAGGAAACAGAGCTAAAATACTCGGGAGCTGGGCAGAGATGTATGTCACAATCCCACCTGCAGAAAGCGACAGGGATGAGATGAACAACTCCACACATGTCCGGATTCCAGGTATGAGAATTTGCATGTTGGGCCTAAGTACACCAGTCTCAATCTCAACAGTGAACTGGATTCATAAATGTGTCTTCTCTGGCTGACCGTGTCCCCTTAGGAGAGTTACAGTCTCACAGATGTAATGAATTTTGGTTTGAGAGTCACCCACCTACCTGTGGACAAGATCCATATATGAGAGTCAATTTTCTTTTTTTCTTTCTCTTTCTTTCTTTCTTTCTTTCTTTCTTTCTTTCTTTCTTTCTTTCTTTCTTTCTTTCTTTCTTTATTTTCTTTTCTTTTCTTTCTCCCTTTCTTTTCCTTCCTTCCTTCTTTCTTTCTCTTTTTCTTTCTTTCTCTTTTTTCTTTCTTTCTTTCTTTCTTTTTTTCTTTCTTTCTTTCTTTCTTTCTTTCTTCTTTGCTTTCTTTTTTTTTTTTTTCTCCCTTGAGATGGAGTCTCACTCTATTGCCAGGCTGGAGTGCAGTGGGACGATCTTGGTTCTCTGCAACCTCTGCCTCCTGGGTTCAAGCGACTCTCCTGCCTCAGCTTCCTGAGTAGCTGGGATTGCAGGTACATGCCACCATGCCCAGCTAATTTTTGTATTTTTAGTAGAGATGGGGTTGCCAGGCACAGTGTTCCATGCCCGTAATCCCAGAACTTTGAGAGGTCGAAGTGGGTGGATCACTTGAAGTCAGGAGTTTGACACCAGTCTAATCAATATGGTGAAACCCCGTCTCTACGAAAAATAGAAAAATTAACTGGGCATGGTGACATGAGCCTGTAGTCCCAGCTACTCGGGAAGCTGAGACAAGAGAATTGTTTGAACCTGGGAGGCGGAGGTTACAGTAAGACTAGATGGTGCCACTGCACTCCAGTCTGGGTGACAGAGCAAGATTCTGTCTCAAAATAATAATAATAAATAAATAGTAGAGAGGCGGGGTTTCACCACGTTGGCCAGGATGGTCTTGATCTCCTGACCTCGTGATCCACCCGCCTCGGCCTCCCAAAGTGCTGCGATTACAGGCCTGATCCACCGCACCCGGCCGGTTGTGCTCATTTTTGAGGATAACTTTTATTGTCACCAGAGTGTGCATGAGTGTTAGAATCTCACCTGTTTGCTGGGCCCTGTTAGGACACTATGTACCTCCTATGGGCTTTGTAGAGTATGCATTAAACATAATACACTCTGAGGTCTTCATGCTGATATGAACCTATGATCATACCTGTGGCCATAAGCCCAGGTATGAGAGTCAACATCTCTCCAGCTGGCTGGATCCAGATAAGAGGATCTTTACTTGGCTGTAAACTGGGTTCAGAAATAAGTCACTATCCCCACTGTGACTGGATGTTCACATGTGATAGTTACAATTCCAGCTGTGGACGGCACTCAGGTATGAGGTTTAGACCTCCCTAATCACCTCTGTTCCTGTGTAGGAATGACAATTCTGATGATTGGTGGGTGTGCACACAGAGAACACAATCTCACCTGTGTTCTGGGCCCTGTGATGACACTGTACCATCTGAGTGCTTTACAGGATATGCAAGAGTGCTTATTTTCTCTGACCTTCATAGTAAGAGAAGACCCATAATTTTGCACATTTTGTAAAGCCTGGATATGAGACAAAGTATCTCTCCTATTGGTTGGTTTAAGGTATGAATGTCATCATCACACCTACATGCTAGGCCAAAATATATGTGACAATCTCACATTTGAGTAGTCAGCAAGCAGGAGGGTCTCATCACCTGGGTCATTGTCAGGGATATGTCACATTCTCCCCTGAGGACAGGGACAAGGCAAGAAAGTCACATCCCTAGGTATTCTGCCAGGGATATGTTCTTGTTCCCTCCTGAAAGCATGACACATGCAGCAGAGTCACCTCACCTGGGTTCTGGGTCCAGCGATATGTCACAATTTTCCCTGTGAGCAAGGCACAGGCAGGAGAAACACATCACCTGTTTGCTGGGCCCAGAAATATGCTACAGTTTTTCTTGTGAGCAGGGCTCAGGCAGAAATGGGGGAATCACATTTTCTAGGTGATAAATGCAGAGCTATGTCACAAGGTCCCCTGTAGTCAGGGCCTTGGCAGAACATTCCTATTGTCTAGGCGATTGGCCCAGTGATACAACACAATAGCTAAATTATGCAGGGCCCAAGGCAAAGAGGAGAGTTGCATCACCTAAGTGATGAACAAAAAGATATGTCATAATACCCAGGTGGAAATGGGCCATGCAGGTAAGTCACATTACCTAGGTGTTGGACCCAGTGATATGTCACAATACACAATATATGCAGGGCCCAGCCAAGAGGGGAGAGTCAAATCACCCAGGTGCTGGGCCCGATGATACATTGTAATCTGTCTTTGGTCAGAGCCCTAGCAGTAGAAGAAACTCACATCACCTCCATGCTGAGGTCAGCCATATGTCACAATAACCCTGAGAAATGAGCCCAGGAAAAGAGTCACATCATTTAAGTGAGAGGCCCATAGATATTTTCAATTCCTCCTGTGGGTAGTCCTCAGTAAAAAGACAGTCACATTAGTTAGAGTCTGTCCCCAGCGATGTGTAAGAATCCCAGCTGTGAACAGGCACCAGACAGGACAAGAGAGTCCCATCACCTGGGTGAACAGTGCACAGATATGTCACAATGACCCCATGTAGGTAAAGTCTAGACAAGAGTTACATCACCTGGGTGTTGGACCCAGCAATATGTCACAATGGCTCATGTGGGCAAAGCACAGGACACAGTCATATAACAAAGTGCCAGGACCAGTGTTAGGTCAGGATACCCTTTATGGGCAGTGCCAAGACAGGAGATTAGAAGCATATTAATTAGATGCTGGATTCAAGGATATATCACAATCTCATCTGTGGGCTACACCCAGGCAAAAAAGTCAAATCACTCAGGAGCTGGCTAGAGGTGTACGTCAGAATCACACCTGCAGGAAGGTCCATGGATGAGATTAATAATCCCTCATAAGTGCCAGTTCTGGATATGAGAGTGAACGCCTCCTGTATGTTGCATCTATGTGCATAAGTCACAATCTCAATGGAGGAATGGGTTTTTTCCATGAGAGCCTTAATCCCTTTTGAAAACTGAGTTATCTTAGTGGACTCACAGCCTCACAATGTTTTGGATCTTGGTCAGGGAGTCACAAACCCACTTAAGGACAACATCCACTTATTAGAGCCAATTTTCCAACTTTTGACTGCCTCTGGGTGTGAGTTTCAGAACCTCATTTATGTTCCATGTTCGTGTGGGAGAAACAATTTTGACAGATGGCTGGGCTCAGGCAGGAGCATTTCATCCTGCAGGTGTTGAGACAAAGGATATGATACAACACCTAAAATATGCTGGGTGCAGGCAAAAGAGGAGACTCATATTAGCTGGTTGCTAGGTCCAGTTATATGTCACCGCTTCCATTTTTGGCAGGGCTAAGGAAAAAGAGGAGAGTCAGAGCTAAAGAAATGTCATAATGTCCCTGTGGGTAGGGCCTATGCATGAGAGTTGCAACACCTAGTCATTGAACCCAGCTATATATTATAATACACAATGTATACAAGGCCCAGGCAAGAAAGGAGAGTATATCACATAGGTACTGGGTCCAGCAATATGTCACCATACCCCCTGAGTGGAGGCTCCAGGCAACAGGGTAACATTACCTAAGTGAAGTGCCCAGAGAGATGTTTCAATGCCCCTGGTGGGTAGGATTTTGAAAAAAGAGAAGTTACAGAACCTAGGGGCTAGGCCTAGGTATGTGTGACATTCATCTCCAAGACGGAGCCCAGACATGAGAGAAATGTCACATGATGTAGGGCATGTAATATGTCACAATCCTTATGTGAGCAGGCCCTAGGAAGAAGTAGAGAGTCACATAGTCTAGATGATGGGCCCAGAGGCATTTGACAATGACTCCTGTATGTAGGGACCAGGCAGAAGAATCACATCACCCCTGTGCTGTTCCCAGTTATAAGTCACACTTCCTTCTGTGGGCATGACCCAGGCAGAGAGAATTCACATCATCCCAGTGCTAGACCCAGGGATATGTCACAATCTCTCTTATGGGCAATGCTCAGGTAAGAGAGGAGAGTTGCATCAAATAGATGATGGACCCAGAGGTATGTCACCATGCCTTCTGTGAACTCGATCCAGGCAGAAGATTCACATCATCAACTTGGTGCTAAGCCCAGCAACGTGTCACAATCCCTTCTGTGTAAAGGGACCAGGCAGGAGAAGAGAATCACATTACCAGGCTGATGAGCACAGAGATATGTCACAATGCCCCTGTAAGGCACGGCCCAGGCAGTTGGGTTACATCGCCTGAGTAGTGGACCCAGCAATATAACACAGTGTCCCATATGGGCAGTGCACAAGCCGGAGAGTCACATAACCTGGATGTGAGGCCAAGCTATATATAACAACGCTTCCTGAGGGCAGCGCCAAGGCAGAAGAGGAGACTCACATCTCCGGGTGCAAGGCCTAGCGATATGTCAAAATGCTCACTGTGGGCAGTGCCAAGGAAGGAGAATAGAGTTACACCCTCAATGTGCTGGATCCATCAATATGTTAATATCCCATCTGTGGGCTGGGTCCATGTGAGACCATCAATTCACTCAGGTGCTAGGCACCGGCAAATTTCACCATGAAAGCTGCAGAATGGTCCAGGAATTAGATTAACAATCCCACAACTGTCTCAGTTGTAGGCATGACATTCAACACCTCCTGTATGTTGGGTCTAAGCTCACGAATAACCCTCTCAACACCAGACTGGATTTGTGCATGAGAGTCTCAATTCCTCTGCAGAATGACCTGTGTTCCTGTGAGAGGATGACAATAGTTACTGTTGGCTGGGTGTGCATATGAGTGTCACAATCTCACCTGTGTGCTCGGCCCAGTTAGTACACAATCTCACAGCTCTGTGTACTACCCAATGGCCCTATACACTATGCATGAGAGTCGTAATCAACTTTGAGACCTTCCTAATGGTAGGGACCCATGATCGTACTTGTAGCATTAAGCCCGGTATGAGAGTCAACATCATTACAATTAACTAGGTCAGGATAGGAGAGTCCTCCCTTGCCTATGAGCTGAGTTTAGATGTGGGCCACCATTTCAACTCTGGTTGAATGTTTATATATGAACACGGGCCTCACACCGAGGTGATGTGAGTCTTTGGCCTAGACACTTCAAGCAGAAGGCAAAGTGACATATCTCTGGGTATATCAACTATTTGATGTGACCTTCCTTTTTTACCTGAGCTTTCCCCATAAAAGAGATGTGACATATGTCTAGACCAAGCACCTGGGTGATGTGACTCTCCTTTATTGACTGAGCCCTGTGTATTTTGGGTATTCTGACGTATCCCTGGACCTAACTTCTGGAAGATAAGAAGATCCAACATGGGCCCTGCCTAAAAAGTTTCTTGTGACAAATTTCTACATGAATCACCTTGGAGATTTGACTCTCCTGTCTTACCCGAGTTTTGCCCATAAGAGAGATTGTTACTTAACTCTGCAGCAAGCACCTAAATGCTGTGGCTCTTCTTTCTTGCCTGGGTCATGCCCAGAGATGAAAGAGTGGCTTATCGCTGTGTCCAGCACACCGGTTATGTGATTATGCTGCCTGATCTCTGCTCACAGGAGCCATTGTGACATATCCCTGGGCCCAGAAACTATTTAACACGACTATCTTCAATGACCTTAACTTGGTGCCTGGGATAAGTTGTGACATATCTCTGGATCCAGCACCTAGGTGATGCGACTCTCCTTTTCTGCATGGGCTATGCTTACAAGAAGGAGGCTGACTTATTGCTGTGTTGACAACTGATGTGATACCTCTGTTCTTGTCTTCTTAGTTTTTAAGAATTTAAACAAGAGACACAAGGAAAAAAAGTACAGCATAATTTATTGGAAAAGAAAATATTTGAAAGTTAAGTGCAGAATACAGTACACCCTGAGAGAGATACTCCAGGGCGGACTGCTCGTAAGAGTG